>NW_018654719.1:0-64689 GCF_000001405.40 Homo sapiens | reverse complement strand
CGAAGTCGCCTCCACCCTTTTCCCCCTCGTTTCCTGGCTTTCTTTTCCCCAGGTATCACTTTCTGAGAATCCCCTTTCTGCTGGGCCTGAATAAAAGGGAGGTAGGAAAAGTGGGAGCAAGAGAGCAGGGGACAGGAGAGGAGGGTCCCGGGGGGCCGAAGCCAGCCAGAGGCGCGTGCTCAGCCCGGAAACACCCAAGCTGGGCACAGGTTCCCTCCATCTACTCCCACAAGTGTGGAGGAATCCTCACCATCAGTCCCAGAGACACTAATAATAAACAGTATTGCAACTGAGCAACTGCTACTGTGAGCCTGAAACACATATTTAAAACTTTTTTTTTTTTTTTTTTTTTTGAGAGGGAGTCTCATCCTGCCGCCCAGGCTGGAGTGCAGTGGCGCCATCTTGGCTCACTGCGAGCTCCGCCTCCCGGGTTCACGCCATTCTCCTGCCTCAGCTTCCCAGGTTGCTGGGACTACAGGCGCCCGCCACCACGCCCGGCTAATTTTTTGTATTTTCAGTAAAGACGGGGTTTCACCGTGTTAGCCAGGATGGTCTCCATCCCCTGACCTCGTGATCCGCCCGCCTCGGCCTTCCAAAGTGCTGGGATTACAGGCGTGAGCCACCGCGCCCGGCCTGAAACACATTTAATATTCAGTTAACTCTCACAGCAACAGCTCATCATCATCATCATCTTCATGCCCATTTTATTGATAAGCAAACAAGCTCGAAGAGATGAGGTGTCTTGTAACTGCCCAAGGGGTTCACCTTGCCGGTGCCTGGCCTTGAGTTGTATTATTACTCAAATCAGTCTCCCCGAACATTCCAGCAGCAGAGTTTTTAAGGATAACTTGGTGGGTGGGGGAAAGACAGTGAACCAGGAGTGCTGATTGGTCAGAGATAAAATCATAGGGAGTCAAAGCTGTCTTCTTGCTCCCCAGACAGAGCCGATTCATCAAGACGGGAATTGCAATAGAGAAAGAGTAATTAACACAGAACTGGCTGTGTGGGAGACCTGAGTTTTATTATTATTATTATTAATTTATTTATTTTTTGAGATGGAGTTTCGCTCTTGTCGCCACGCTGGAGTGCAATGGTGTGATCTCGGCTCACCGCAACCTCCGCCTCCTGGGTTCAAGCGATTCTCCTGCCTCAGTCTCCCGAGTAGCTGGGATTACAGGCATGTGGTACCACACACTGCTAATTTTGTATTTTTAGTAGAGACAGAGTTTCTCCATATTGGCCAGGCTGGTCTCGAACTCCCGACCTCAGGTGATCCGCCAGCCTGGGCCTCCCAAAGTGCTAAGATTACGGGCATGAGCCACCGCGCCTGGCCCTGGGTTGTATTATTACTCAAATCAGTCTCCCGGAACATTCTGGCTGCAGAGTTTTTAAGGATAACTTGGTGGGTGGGGGAAAGAGTAAGCCAGGCGTGCTGATTGGTCAGAGATAAAATCACAGGGAGTCAAAGCTGTCTTCTTGCCCTGAGTCAGTTCCTAGGTGGGGAGCCACAAGATCACATAAATCAGTTTATTGATTTGGGTAGTGCCAGCTGATCCATCAAGTGCAAGGTCTGCAAAATATCTTAAGCATTGATCTTAGGAGCAGTTTAGTGAGGATCAGAATCTTGTAGCTTCCAGCTGCATGACTCCTAAACCATAATTTATAATCTTGTAGCTAATGTTAATCCTACAAAGGCAATCTAGTCCCCAGGCAAGAAGGAGGTCTTCGGGAAAGGGCTGTTACTGTCTTTGTTTAAACTATAAACTATAAGTTTCTCCCAAAGTTAGTTCAGCTTAAGCCCAGGAATGGACATGGACAGCTTAGAGGTTAGAAGCAAGATGGAGTCAGTTAAATTAAATCTCTTTCACTGTCTCAGTCATAATTTTGCAAAGGCAGTTTCAGTCTTGCCTGGAGTCACACAGCTAGCAAGTGGTAGAGCCCAGGGTTTCATGTTCTCTGCTCCCAAATTGTTTATTGGCAAGTAGGAAGAGAAAGCCCTGAATAACCAATTTACGTAGAATATGGTATTAGGAGGGATGTTTTCACAGGGTGCCCAGAGGAAGGTCATCAAGCCCAGCCTAGAGAATTCAGGACAGAAGGCTAAGCACAATGGCTCACGCCTGTAATCCCAGCAATTTGGGAGGCAGACAGGGGTGTATCACTTGAGGTCAGGAGTTCGAGACTAGCCTGGCCAACATGGTGAAACCCCCGTCTCTACTAAATAAAAAACACAAAAAAAATTAGCCGGGCATAGTGGTGTGTACCTGTAGTCCCAGCTAGGGAGACGGAGACATTAGAATCGCTTGAAGCCAGGAGGCAGAGGTGGCAGTGAACCGAGATCACGCCACTGCACTTCAGCCTGGGCAACAGAGTGAGACTCCATCTCAAAATAAATAAATAAATAAATAAAACTATATAATAATAATAATTAGCTAGATGTTGTGGTGCACATCTGTAGTCCCAACTTTTCAAAAGGCTGAGGCAGGAGGATTGCTTGATCTCAGGAGGCTGAGGTTATAGTGAGCTATGGTGGTGCCACTACACTCCAGCCTGGACAACAGAGCAAGACTTGTCTCAAAAAGAGGGAATTCAGGGCAGGCTTCCTGTAGGAGGTGACACTAAAAGATGCTAGGAGTTAGCCAGGAAGAAAAAAAAGGGAGAAAGATGGGAGGCAAAAAAATAGCAAAGGGAACGAGATGTAAAACAGCAGAGTGTGTCTGCCCTGGGACAGGAGTGAGGAGAAGAGTTGCGGGGGCCCTCAGGGATATGTGGGAAATCAGGATTTTGAGGAGTAGACTTGGCTTCTCAACCCAACCTCCTCGGGTGTGATCTGCAAACAGACCTTGTTTCCCTGTGGTTGGACACTAAGTGTGGTGTTTTTTGTTTTTTGAGACGGAGTCTTTCTCTGTTGCCCAGGCTGGAGTACAGTGGCGCGATCTTGGCTCACTGCAAGCTCCGCCTCCTGGTTCACGGCCTTCTCCTGCCTCAGCCTCCCGAGTAGCTGGGACTACGGGCACCCACCACCACACCCAGCTAATTTTTTTGTATTTTTAGTAGAGACGGGTTTTCACCATGTTAGCCAGGATGGTCTCGATCTCCTGACCTTGTGATCCGCCTGCCTTGGCCTCCCAAAGTGCTGGGATTACAAGCGTGAGCCACAGCGCCCAGCCTAAGTGTGGTGTTTTTTGTTTGTTTGTTTGTTTGTTTTTTGAGACAGTCTTGCTCTGTTGCCCAGGTGGGAGTGCAATGGCACGATCTGGGCTCACTGCAACCTCCGACTCCTGGGTTCAAGCAATTCTTCTGCCTCAGCCTCCCAAGTAGCTAGTATTACAGGTGCCCACCACCACACTCAGCTAATTTTTTATATTTTTAATAGAGACAGGGTTTTGCCACGTTGGTCAGGCTGGTCTAAAACTCCTGACCTCAGGTGATCCATCTGCCTCGGCCTCCCAAAGTGCTGGGATTATAGGCGTAAGCCACCACGCCAGGCTAAGTATGGTGTTTATGTTCATTTTTCTGGGTCAAAATAAGAGTGGGAGGGGGGCGAGCATGATCAGATGGGCGATTTTTTTTTTTTTTGAGATAGCGTCTCACCCTGTCACCTAGGCTACCGTGCATTCTCAGCTCACTGCAACCTCCATCTCCCAGGTTCAAGTGATTCTCCTGCCTCAGCCTCCCCAGTAACTGGGATCACAGGCGCCGCCATCACGCCCAGCTAATTTTTTGTATTTTTGGTAGAGATGGGGTTTCACCATGTTGGCCAGGCTGGTCTCAAACTCCTGACCTCAAGTGATCCACCCACCTCAGCCTCCTAAAGTGAGCCGGTGAGCCACAGCGCCCAGCCTAGATGGGCGATTTAAAGAGTCCTCCGGCGCTGTAGGGGCTGCATGGCGCATGGTGTGGTGGGGATGAGAGAGGAGAGGGTGGGTCAGTAAGGAGGGAGTTTAATGACTGGCTGCATGGAGGCGCCAGCAGAGGGACAGAGAGAAACAGAGCATGGGGAGATCCTTCAAGACATTATCGGTGGGCACTATGGCTCACACCTGTAATCCCAGCACTTTGGGAGGCTGAGGCGGGCGGATCACTTGAAGTCAGGAGTTCAAGACCAGCCTGGCCAACATGGTGAAACCCTGTCTCTCCTAAAAATACAAAAATTAGCAGGGCGTGGTGATGCGTGTTTGTAATCCCAGCTTCTCGGGAGGCTGAGGCAGGAGAATCACTTGAACCCGGGGGACGGAGGTTACAGTGAGCCGAGATCACATCACTGCACTCCAGCCTGGGTGACAGAGTGGATCTCTGTCTAAAAACAAACAAACAAACAAAAAAGACAGGATACTCCGCTAAGACACGACCCTCCGCTTGGACGTAGGGCTGAGGAAGAAGGAAGAAGCTGGGGTGTGTGGCTCTAGGGGTGCCTGGGAAGACGGTGGGCTTTCCTGGTGGTGTTGGGGGGCGCCCTGAGTAGTAGCATCTTCGTACTTTCAGGGTTATGGGATCCAGTTTTTCGGACCCAAGGAGTATTATGAGGGTGACTGGTGTGGCAGCCAGCGCAGCGGGTGGGGCCGCATGTATTACAGCAACGGCGACATCTACGAGGGACAGTGGGAGAACGACAAGCCCAACGGGGAGGGCATGCTGCGCCTGAGTGAGTGCCCCACCCCCGCCGGCCCCGCCCACCCGACCACGCCCCCGGCAGCGAGCTGGCCACGCCCATTTGGTCCCACAGAGACAGGCCACACCCCACACTCTTGTCCCACACTGACCCTTGTGTCAATGTGGGACAAGAGAGGAAGAGCACCCTATCTCTCCCCTCAGTCACAAAAGGTCACATATATATGATGCTATTTATATGAAATTTTTAGGACACGCACCTCCACAGAGACAGAAAGTAGACTAATGGTTGCCTAGGACTATGGGGGTGGTGACATTAGTGGGTGTGGGGAATGGCTGCTTAATGGGCACAGGGTTTCCTTTTCGGGTGATTAAAACGTTTTGAAACTAGATAGAGGTAATGGTTGCACAGCATTGTGAATGTACTAAATGCCACTGAACTATACACTTCAAAATGGCCAACTTATGTTATATGAACTTATATCTCAATTTTTAAAAAAAAAGCCAGGCGCAGTGGCTCATGCCTGTAATCCCAGCACTTTGGGAGGCAGAGGCGGGCGGATCATGAGGTCAGGAGTTTGAGATCAGCCTGGCCAACGTGGAGAAACCCTGTCTCTACTAAAAATACAAAAAGTAGCTGCATGTGGTGGTATACACCTGTAATCCCAGCTACTCAGGAGGCTGAGGCAGGAGAATCACTTGAACTCGGGAGGCGGAGGTTGTCACTCAGGCTGGAGTGCTGTGGGGCAATCTCAGCTCACTGCAGCCTCAACTTCTTGAGCTCAAGCCATCCTCCCACCTCAGCCTCCAGAGTAGCTGGGACTATAGGTGCACACCACTATGCCCAGCTAATTAAAAAAATTTTTTTTTTTGCAGAGATGTGGTCTCACTATGTTGCTCAGGCTGGTCTTGATCTCCTGGGCTTATGAGCCTCCCATCTTGGCCTCCCAATGTGTTAGGATTTGCACTGAGCTCTGGAAGAGCGACCCCTGGGGGTCTAGCTTAGTTTGGTGTACCCTGCACCACACCTCCCTGTCCTTTCCCCCAGAGAACGGGAACCGCTACGAGGGCTGCTGGGAGAGAGGCATGAAGAACGGGGCGGGGCGTTTCTTCCATCTGGACCACGGCCAGCTGTTTGAAGGCTTCTGGGTGGACAATATGGCCAAATGCGGGACGATGATCGACTTTGGCCGTGACGAGGCCCCTGAGCCCACTCAGTTCCCCATTCCTGAGGTGGGCAGCCCTCACCAGGGCCCTGTGGCCACACCCAGACAGAGACAGAAGCCAGCATCCCCAGCCATGCCCAGGCCAGATCTGCCAGGCCCAGCCAAGCCCAGACAGGGAACAGACAAGGTTTTGTTTTCAGTCAGGGCATCCCTAGCAAGGGAGGTGGCTCCTGATGAGGCTGGCAGCACCCCACACGGCAGGCAGCGCCAGTCAAGGCTGGCAGCCTGGGTCCTCCATGCTCTCCAAACCAACTTCTTGGTATTTCCCTCCAGGTCAAAATCCTAGACCCTGATGGTGTGCTGGCGGAGGCCTTGGCCATGTTCAGGAAGACAGAGGAAGGAGATTGATGCCAGGTGAGGGGTGGGCACACCTGCCAAGTTCTGATGTGGCTGAGGCTGCTCCAGGGCCCAGAACAATGCACAGATCTCCTGGGGTCTCCAAAGGGCTTGGGGTCGGGGAGTGGGGGAGCAAGACCATCGAGGGCAGGCTTCTTGCCTCCTACAGTCCCAGGTGTCCTTTTTGACGCTTCCTCTTCAAAACCCCTTTTGACCGGCTGTGGTGGCTCTTGCCTTTAATCCCAGCACTTTGGGAGGCCAAGGCAGGCGGATAAGTTGAGGTCAGGAATTTGAGACCAGCCTGGCCAACATGGTGAAACCCCATCTCTACTAAAAATATAAAAGTTAGCCAGGTGTGGTGGCAGGCACCTGTAGTCCCAGCTACTCGAGAGGCTGAGGCAGGGGAATCACTTGAACCCGGGAGGTGAAGGTTGCAGTGAGCTGAGATTGCACCACTGCACTCCAGCCTGGGCGACAGAATGGGACTCTGTCTCAAAAAAAACAAAACTCGCCAGGCACAGTAATCCTATAATCCTGTAATCCCAGCACTTTGGGAGGCCGAGGTGGGTGGATCACGAGGTCAGGAGTTCAAGACTAGCTTGGCCAAGATGGTGAAACCCCATCTGTACTAAAAACACAAAAATTAGCTGGGCGTGGGGGAGGGCACCTGTAATTCCAGCTACTCAGGAGGCTGAGGCAGAGAATTGCTTGAACCTGGGAGGCAGAGGTTGCAGTGAGCTGAGACTGTGCCACTGCACTCCAGTCTGGGTGAGACTGTGTCTCAAAAAACAAACAAACAAACAAATAAACAAACAAACAAACCATTTCACTGAAGACCAGTGCATTCCAGTCCTGCCTGAAACCTTCTATTTGCACCCTGGGCCACACAACTGAGCTGGGCACGGGGTTGAAAGGAGGTGGTCTCCTGGCTTCTGAACACCCTTGAGTAAGGCAGTTGGCCTTCAGCCTCCATTTACACATCTGTCCAGTGGGGTCTTGTCCAGTCCAAGTCCTCCTGGGCATGATGTGAGGGTTTGAGGAGAGGACATTGGTAACAGCGTCTTTCAAATGCCAGCTCCACCATCCCTCTCTCCCCTGCAGAGAACACAAACGCTTCAGGAGAAATTCAAGCCTGTGTCACCCGATCGCTCAGACCAGTGCGGCTCTGGCTGGAGGAGTCAGCAGCAGCTCCAGGCATGACCCCGGCACCCTCATAGGGCCCCTCACTACCCCCAGCACTGGGTCATTTCTTGCCAATAGGAAGGCTGGTGCTTCTCTCCCAGGCTGTCCTCGGGACCCTCTTCATTCTCTGATCTCATCCTGGAATGCATGAGAATAAAGAATAACCAAGTGGTATAAGCCTGGGCCTATGGGATAAGGATGGGGCACTCGAGGGGGCTCAGCAGGGCTTTCAGGTTTAGAAGAGGGAAGACCTGCCTTGGCTGGGCTGCCTGGGTTTAGCTTGGGGGAGTAAGGGCAGGTCTTAGGCCGGGTGCAGTGGCTCATTCCTGTAATCCCAGAACTTGGGAGGCCAAGGTAAGAGGACTGCCTGAGGCCAGGAGTTCGAGACCAGCTTAGGCAACATAGCAAGACCCTGACTCTACAAAAAAAAATTTTAAAATATAAAAGAAAGGAAAAGAAAAAGAGAAAGAAATGGCAGGTCCCCTGTGAGATAACCCAGATGACCCAGAGAGAAGGCCTGTATCCTGCCACACTGGCTGCCAAGATTGGAGATCATAAAATTTCCTGACCACTTCTCAGCCTAACACAGGGCTCTCAACCTTGAAATCCCATGGAAACTTTGCAAAGCTGTGGAAGCCCAGGTCCCATGCCCAGAGATTCACAGGTTCACATCTAATTCATCTGGGGTGAGGCCTGAGCTTTCAGAAAATTCCCCAGGTGATTTTTTTTTTTTAAGACGTAGTCTCCCTCTATTGCCCAGGCTGGAATGCAGTGGCGCGATCTCAGCTCACTGCAACCTCTGCCTCCCATGTTCAAGCGATTCTCCTACCTCAGCCTCCTGAGTAGCTGGGATTACAGGCGCATGCCACTGAGCCCAGCTAATTTTTGTATTTTTAGTAGAGATGGGGTATCACCATGTTGGTCAGGCTGGTCTTGAACTCCTGACCTCGTGATCTGCCCCGCTCAGTCTCCTAAAGTGCTGGGATTACAGGTGTGAGCCATCGAGCCTGGCCTTTTTTTTTTTTTTTTTTTTTTTTTTGAGACAGAGTCTTGCTCTGTCACCCAGGCTGGAGTGCAGTGGCACAATCTCGGCTCACTGCAACCTCGCCTCCCTGGTTCAAGCGATTATCCTGCCTCAGCCTCCCAAGTAGCTGGGATTACAGGCACCTGCCACCAAGGCTAATTTTTTGTATTTTTAGTAGAGACAGGGTTTCACCATGTTGGCCAGGACGGTCTCGATCTCCTGACCTCGTGATCTGCCCGCCTTGGACTCCCAAAGTGCTGGGATTACAGGTGTGAGCCACTGCTCCCAGCCAAGATCAGATGTTCTTGCATAATGGGCAGGTGAGCTCTGGAGTCACAGTGCCTGGGCGTGAATCTCGGAGCTGTGTGTTCTCAGGAATGTCACCCAAACTCTGTTCTGTTGGTCTCCTCACTTGCAATATGGGGCATTAACAGTACTTACCACCTGGGGTTACTGTGGTTAGTTACTGTGAGGATGAGATAAGGCGGTGGTTTTAAACTGTGGGTAGGATTTTGTCCTCCCTCAGCCCCACTCTTTCTTGGGGACATTTGGCAATGTATGACATTTTTGATGTCACAACAGGCAGGAAGAAGGCTACTGGCATTGAGTGAGTAGAGACCAGGGATGCGGTTAAGCATAGTGCAATATCACCATGCTACAAAAAAAAAAAAAAAAAAGAATTCAGCACCTGTAATCCCAACTACTTGGGAGGCTGAGGCAGGAGAATTGCTTGAACCTGGGTGGCAGAGGTTGCAGTGAGCCGAGATTGCGCCATTGCACTCCAGCCTGGGCGACAGAGCGAGACACCATCTCCAAAAAAAAAAAAAAAAAAAATGTTGAGAAACCCTGAAATACCACGATTCTAGCTAAGACCTCAGCAAGAGGCACATAGCACATAGTAAAGCCTCAATAAACACCACTGACCTTACTGAGGTTCTCTCTGCCCCCTAAGTCATAAGTAGGGTGGCCTCACCAAGGGTGTGGTTCTCAGTCTGTACCTCTGGCACTGGGAAGCCCCGCCTGGCCACCCTAGGATGCAGAATTAATCATAACTTCCAGATATGGAGCACTCACTCTATTCCAGGCCGTGTGCTGACAGCTTCGCAGCAAGCATTCTCTCCTGGCACTCCCCGACAACAGTGAGGTGTCTTGCTATTACTGCCATTTTAGAGGAGGAAACAGGTTCAGGGAGGATCACAAGTCATCAAGCTAGTACTGTGCTTAAACTTAGGTCTAGCTGTTCTTAATGTGCAGAAGAGTGTAAAGGGTTACCATTTTTAAAGAAAAAGTGGGGGCAGGGCATGGTGGCTCATGCCTGTAATCCTAGCACTTTGAGAGGCCGAGGCAGGCGGATCAAGAGGTCAGGAGTTCGAGACCAGCCTGACCAACATGGTGAAACCCTGTCTCTACTAAAAATACAAAAATTAGCTGGGTGTGGTGGAGTGCATCTATAATCCCAGCTACTCAGGAGGCTGAGGCAGGAGAATCACTTGAACCCAGGAGGCGGAGGTAGTGGTGAGCCAAGATCACGCCGAGCCGAGATCGTGCCGCTGCTCTCCAGCCTGGGCAACAGAGCGAGACTCCATCTCAAAAAAAAAAAAAATGTTGGAAGAGGGTGTGCTTGTTTATGTACAAAATGTCGCTAGATTTAAACACAATAAACTGGCAAAGATGGTTGTCTCTGGGGAGAATTGGGGACTTGGGAACAGGAGCTGAAGAACAACTTTTCAGTGTTGTGTTTGGAACCATGTGAATGTATTATGTATTCAAAATGTAAATAAAAATGAAGTTAAAGAGACTGTGCTCCTAACTAGGAGTGTTTGTCTAAGTTGCCTGGGTGTGAGAGCACCTGGGGTGCTTGTTAGAAATAGATTCCAAAGACACACCCAGACCTACTTAAATCAGAATCCTCCAAGGGCTTCGAAACCTGCATTTGACAAGCCTGGCTGATGAGTCGAGTCCCGGCCAGTTTAGGAACAAGAACCCAAGACAACAGGATCCTAGCCCAGAAATAATTCCAGCTGGATCTTGCATCCCTACAGAAGTAGGGAGGTGGCTGTCCTAGGGGAATACGTAAAAGATGTCCAGGACGGCCGGGTGCGGTAGCTCACGCCTGTAATCCCAGCACTTTGGGAGGCTGAGGCAGGTGGATCACCTGAGGTCAGGAGTTGGAAACCAGCCTGGCCAGTGTGGTGAAAGCCCATCTCTGCTAAAAATACAAAAATTAGCCGGGCGTGGTGGCTCATGCCTGTAGTCCCAGCTACTCGGGAGGCCGAGGCAGGAGAATCCCTTGAACCCGAGAGGCAGAGGTTGCAGTGAGCTGAAATCGCGCCACTGCACTCTAGCTTGGGCAACAGAGTGAGACTTGGTCTCAAAAAAAAAAAAAAAAAAAAAAGTCCAGGACTTCTCTGGGGAGCAGTGGGGGTTCATAGAGGTCCCTCCCTCATCTACTTGATACCCTTCAAAAGTGTGGATTAGGCCAGGCGTGGTGGCTCACGCCTGTAGTCCCAACACTTTGGGAGGCTGAAGCGGGTGGATCACATGAGGCCAGGAGTTCCAGACTAGCCTGGCCGACATGGTGAAACCTCCATCTGTACCAAAAAATACAAAAATTAGCCAGGCGTGGTAGTGTGCACCTATAATCCCAGCTACTTGGGAGGCTGAGGCAGGAGGATCGTTTGAACCCGGGAGGCGGAGGTTGCAGTGAGCCAAGATTTCACCACTGTACTCCAGTCTGGGCGACAGAATGAGACTCTGTCTCAAAACAAAACAAAACAAACAAAAAAGAAGTGTGGATCCTGGAGCATGTGACACAGGACTGCAAATGCTGCTGGAGGGAAAAGGAGGGTCCCCTTCCCCACCCAGACTATGAAGCTGCCGTTCACTGTGTCCCAGTCCGCACAGGACAAGAACTTAAGGCCACACTTTCCAAATTGTGTTTCTCCAGAGTCTTGGGGTTCTGTGAAGCACCTGGGACAACAATGATAGGAGAAAGAGAAATATCAGGCCTGCTGATGCTCCACCCACATTTCACTTCAGCCAGACTACATTCTTTTATAAAACTAATTAAAAACTTGGTTTAAATTTTTCTTTTTTGAGACAGGGTCTGTTGCCCAGGCTGGAGTCCAGTAGCACAATCAAGGATCACTGCACCCTCTACTTCCCAGACTCAAGCGATCTTCCAGCCTCAGTTTCCCAAGTAGCTGGGATTACAGGCGCGTGCCACCATGCCCAACTAATTTTTGTATTTTGTGTAGAGACAGGGTTTCGCCATGTTGCCCAGGCTGGTCTCAAACTCCTGGGTTCAAGTCATCTACCTGCCTCATCCTCCTAAAGTGCTGGGATTACAGGCGTGAGCATAACCACTTTCTATATTAGATGTTTGGGACAGACAGAAATCTCAAACTCAAAGGCCTAATGAGGCCAAGAAAGTCACATGAGTGAAGGCGGCCTGGTGTGAGACAAGAGGGAGTGCTGGGGACTGTGGAAAAAATAGGCCCTGGGGAGAGTGTGGCTGCAGTGCAGCTGCTGCTCATTGTTGCTCTGTAAGAAGGTGGCCCCATGCAGCTAGGGCTTCCAACAGTTCTTTAATGTATGTATGTGTGTGTGTGTGTGTATGTATGTATGTATGTATGTATGTATATATTTATTTGGGACCGAGTTTTGCTCTTGTCGCCCAGGCTGGAGTGCAATGCCGTGATCTCAGCTCATTGCAACCTCTGCCTCCCAGGTTCAAATGATTCTCCTGCCTCAGCCTCCCAAGTAGCTGGGATTACAGGTGTGCTCCACTACGCCTGGCTAATTTTTGTATTTTTAGTAGAGATGGGGTTTCACCCTGTTGGTCAAGCTGGTCTCAAACACTGCTGACTTCAGGTGATACAGCTGCCTCAGCCTTCCATAGTGCTGGGATTACAGGTATGAGCCACCACACCCGGCCCTCCATTTAAAGCAAAGCCAGAATCAGCCCAGGTAAGATCTTTGTGAGGGCCTAGGCTCTGAGCCAGACTATCCAGGTTCAAATCCTGGCAATTTACTTAACTTCCACGGGCATGAATTTTACCTTCTGCAAAATGGAGATAATAATAGTACTCACCACTGGCCGGGCGCGGTGGCTCACGCCTGTAATCCCAGCACTTTGGGAGGCCGAGATGGGCGGATCACGAGGTCAGGAGATCGAGACCATCCTGGCTAACGTGGTGAAACCCCGTCTCTACTAAAAATACAAAAAATTAGCCGGGCATGGTGACGGGCGCCTGTAGTCTCAGCTAGTCGGGAGGTTGAGGGAGGAGAATGGCGGGAACCTGGGAGGTGGAGCTTGCAGTGAGCCGAGATCGCGCCATTGCACTCCAGCCTGGGTGACAAAAGTGAGAGACTCCGTCTCAAAAAAAAAAAAAAAAAAAAAGGTACCCACCATATAAGGGTGCTGAGGGTTAAATGAGTTGATGCATAGTGCGTAGAATAGCAGCTGCACATAATGATTTTTCTTTTTTGGAGTCTTGCTCTGTCCAGCAGGCTGGAGTGCAGTGGCACGCTCTCAGCTCACTGCAACCTCCAGCTCCCAGGTTCAAGAGATTCTCCTGTCTCAGTCTCCCGAGTAGCTGGGATTACACGCACGCACCACCACGACCAGCTAATTTTTGTATTCTTTTTTTTTTTTGAGACGGACTCTCTCTCTGTCGCCCAGGCTGGAGTGCAGTGGTGCAATCTCGGCTCACTGCAAGCTCCACCTCCCGGGTTCACGCCATTCTCCTGCCTCAGCCTCCCGAGCAGCTGGGACTACAGGCAGCCACCACCACGCCCAGCTAACTTTTTGTATTTTTTAGTAGAGACGGGGTTTCACCCTGTTAGCCAGGATGGTCTTGATCTCCTGACCTCGTGATCCGCCCGCCTCGGCCTCCCAAAGTTCTGGGATTACAGGCGTGAGCCACTGAGCCCAGCCAAAAAGTTTTTTAAAGACAAAGGCTAGCCTGGGTGCTGTGGCTCACAGCTGCAATCTCAGCAGTTCGGGAGGCCAAGGTGGGAGGATCCCTTGAAGCCAGGAGTTCAAGACCAGCCTGGGCAAGAGAGGCCCTGTTTCTATAAAAAATACAAACATTATCCAGGCGTAGTGGCATGTGCCTGTATTCCCAGCTACTCAGGAGGCTGAGGTGGAAGGATTGCTTGAGCCTAGGAGGTTGAGGCTGCCCTCTAGCCTGGGTGACATGGGAAGTCCCTGTCTCAAACACAAACAAACAAAAAAAAGGCTGAGGAATTGTTCCAAATTAAAGGAGACTAAGGCTGGGCACGGTGGCTCACGCCTGTAATCCTAACACTTTGAAAGGCCAAGGCGAGGGGATCACTTGAGACTGGGAGTTTGAGACCAGCCTAGCCAACATGGTGAAACACCTTCTCTACTAAAAATACAAAAATTAGCCCGGCGTGGTGGTGGGCACCTGTAATCCCAGCTACTCGGGCAGCTGATGCAGAAGAATCGCTTGAACCTAGGAGGCGGGGTTTGCAGTGAGCCAAGATCATGCCACTGCACTCCAGCCTGGGCGACAGAGTGAGACTCCGTCTCAAAAAAATAATAATAAAATAAAAATAATAAAGGAGACTAGGAAGTGATATCTCGTTGTGACACACAATCCTCAAGTGGAAAAAACGTCACTAGAAGGGACATTACTGGGACATTTGGGAAACTGAACAGGAATGTTCTATCTGATAATTGCCTGGATTTGATCACTGGATTGTCGTCATGTAGGGAAATGTCCTTAGTTTTAGGAGGAAGTATTTAGGCATGAAGGACCATACCGGTAACTACAGCACATGCCTCAGGGGGAAGGTAGACACAGTCCCTCCTCAGTCTTCAGTCAGTGTCTGTGACTTTGCCAGCTTTGCAGTGAGCCGAGATCGCACCATTGCACTCTAGCCTAGGCAACAAGAGTAAACCTCTATCTCAAAAAAAAAAAAAGAAAGCTGGGCGCGGTGGCTCACACCTATAATCCCAGCACTTTGGGAGGCCGAGGTGGGTGGATCACCTGAGGTCTGGAGTTCGAGACCAGCCTGACCAACATGGAGAAACCCCATCTCTACTAAAAATACAAAATTAGCTAGGCGTGGTGGCGTATGCCTGTAATCCCAGCTACTCAGGAGGCTGAGGCAGGAGAATGGCTTGAACCCGGGAGGTGGAGATTGCTGTGAGCCGAGATCGCACCATTGCACTCCAGCCTGGACAACAAGAGTGAAACTCCGTCTCAAAAAAAAAAAAAAAAAAAAAGCTGGGCATGGTGATATGTGCCTGTGGTCCTAGCTACTTGGGAGGTGGAGTGACCAGAGCTCACTGCAGGGAGGATCACTTCAGCTCAGGAGTTGGTGGTTACAGTGAGCTATGGTCATGCCACTGTACTCCAGCCTGGGTGACAGAGGGAAACCCTGTCTCTAAAATAAAATAGGCAGGGAGCAGTGGCTCATGTCTGTAATCCCAGCACTTTGGGAGGCTGAGGCGGGCAGATAACGTGAGGTCAGGAGTTCGAGACCAGCCCGGCCAACATGGTGAAATCCCGTCTACTAAAAATACAAAAATTTGCTGGGTGTGGTGGCGCGCTCCTGTGATTCTAGCTACTTGGGAGGCTGAGGCAGAAGAATCACTTGAACCTAGGAAGCGGAAGCTGCATGTGATCAGAGATTGTGCCACTGCACTCCAGCCTGGGGGATGGAGTGAGACTGTTTCAAAATATATATATATAATAATAGGCCGGGTCCAGTGGCTCACGCCTGTAATCCCAGAACTTTGGGAGGCCAAGGTGGGTGGATAACGGGGTCGAGTTCCAGACCAGCCTGGCCCACACAGCGAAACCCCTGCCTCTACTAAAAATACAAAAAAATTAGCCGGGTGTGGTAGCCGGTGCCTGTAATCCCAAGTATTCAGGAGGCTGAGGCAGGAGAATCGCTGGAAACCAGAAGGTGGGCTGGGCGCAGTGGCTCATGCCTGTAATCCCAGCACTTTGGGAGGCCCAGGCGGGTGGATAGCTTGAGGTCAGGAGTTCGAGACCAGCCTGGCCAACGTGGTAAAACCCCGTCTCTACTAAAAACACAAAAATCAGCTGGGCATGGTGGTGCATGCCTGTAATCCTAGCTACTCAAGAGGCTGAGGCAGGAGAATCACTTGAACCTGGGAGGCAAAGGCTGTAGTAAGCTGAGATTGTGCCGCTGCACTGGAGCCTGGGCAACAAGGTAAAACTTTGTTTCAAACAAAAGAAAGAAACCAGAAGGTGGAGGTTGCAGTGAGCAGAGATCGTGCCCTTGCACTCCAGCCTGGGCAACAAGAGCAAAACTCTGTCTCAAAAAAAAAAATATATATATATATGTATAATACATAAATACATATATATATTATCTAATATTCCTCAGTGCAAGAAGGTTATGATGGATATACATATGGAGAAAACAAGTATGTTAGATAAACTTTATTTAGGCATGTGTTCTAGTCCTGTGGGCTGTGAGTTCAACGGTAACAACTCAACCATATATATATATACACATATATATATGAATCTTTAAACAGAAATACACATAAAACAAGATTACATATTGATCAGCTGATGAAAATATCACGACCAAAGCTCACAGGAACGCAACCCTGTATTTCTCCTAGGAGCAACGGTCCAGTATGTGCTAAGTCAGTGCTCACAGTGATTTTACAGATCGCGCCACTGCACTCCAGCCTGGGTGACAGAGTGAGGCTCTATTTAAAAAAAAAAAAAAAAAAAAGACTTCTAAAGAAAAGACTGAATATGTATTTCAGATAGACACTATTCCTGCAACTTTTTGTAGGTTTGAAATTTCTCAAAATAAAATGTTGAATTTTTTTTTCTTTTTTTTTTGAGACGGAGTTTCACTGTTGTTGCCCAGGCTGGAGTGCAATGGCGCGATCTCAGCTCACTGCAACCTCCGCCTCCTGGGTTCAAGCGATTCTCCTGCCTCAGCCTCCCGAGTAGCTGGGATTACAAGCATGCGCCACCAAACCCAGCTAATTTTGTATTTTTAGTACAGATGGGGTTTCTCCATGTTGGTCAGGCTGGTCTCGAACTCCCGACCTCAAGTGATCTGCCCGCCTTGGCCTTCCAAAGGGCTAGGATTACAGGCGTGAGCCACCATGCAGGGCAAATTTTTCTATTTTTTTAGAGACAGAGTCTCCCTCTGTTGCCCAGGTTGGAGTGCAGTGGTGTTACCATAGCTCACTGCAGACTTGGCCTCCTGGGCTTAGGCAATCTTCCTGCCTCAGTCTCTCAAAGGAGCTGGAAGTGCAGGCGCCGTGGCTGGCTAATTTTTGTATTTTTTGTTTGAGATGGGGTCTCAAACTCCTGGGCTCAAGAGATCCTCCTGCCTTGGCCTCCTGAATAGCTGAGACCACAGGTATGTGCCACCATACCTGGCTTAAAATTTGTTTTAAGTTTTCCTAGAGGCTCACCTAACCAGGGTGAGCAGTAGCCCAGGCCCAACAAATACAAGACACGGGAAGGAGGTGTCCTTATGAGTATATTTATGTGTCACACACACATGTACACACTCAATGCTGGACGGGAGGGAGGTTGAGACGGACAGGACAGGAGGAGGCACCCAGGTGGCACTGGCACAGGGGAGGAGAGGGGACACAGCGAGTGTGTGGCCCCACTTTGGCCCCCCACCGCCTCCCAACAGGAGGTGGACCTGGAGCTGGAAGAACAGGAAATGCTTATTCTCTTAGAGGACAGTTTCAAAGTGCAGAAATTTCTCTTATAAAAATCCTCTTCCCTCCATGCTCTGCCCCTTGCTGAAGCCCAGCCCCCTGCGCAGGCTGTCCGTGAGGCTGGGGCAGGACAAGGTCAAGGGGAAGGGCGTAAGGCCAAAGCACTGGAAGGGCCCAGACCACATGGGCCTAGGCATAGTGGCTGCCGGGCGTCAGGGGGTGGTCCCCTCTGTGGTCCAGCTGGTCCTGTAAGCGGGCAAACTCCGCCAGCTCGTTGAGCTCCTGGAACTGTCGGTCAGTCTTATGGCTAACCAGTGAGCGGTAGAAGTGGACGGCGAAGACGATAAAGATCAGGCCGAAGGGCACCATGATGGTGGTCGAGGCGATGGCAGCTGCCTGGCCCGGGGTGATGCCGCTGGTGCTGACGTTGGCTGCTGCGCCACTGGCGGGGGGCTTGCTGGTGGGCCTTGGCTGGCCTGGCTGCTTCTTGAGGGGCAAGAACTTGACCCAGCAGAGCAGCACCACCTCAGCTAGGAAGAGCAGCGTGCCGATGACGGTGGAGAAGGCCCAGGCCAGCTCGATGTGGCGGTGCATGCGCTCATGGGGGGACTCCTTGACCGAGTTGAGATTGTGCACGTTGCTCACCGCCTCGATGTTGGGCAGGATGCAGGTGCTGATCATGAGCGCAAACAGGTGCACAGCCACCAGCACTGTGGTGCAGGCACTGAAGGCGATGAGCAGCCCCGGTGGGTAGTCGTGGTCAGCGTCCAGCTGCACCTCCACCATTGCCACCTGCGGGGGGACAGGCAGGATGAGTGCCAGCGGTCCCAGCCCACACTACTACTCTTCAGTCCTAGCTCTCCTCCTGTCAGGCTCTGGGACCCTGGCCAGTCGCTTGGCCTCTCCGAGCCTCAGTTTTCATATGTCTACAATGGGGATAGTAAGGCCTATCCACTTGTGGATGAGAGTGGCAGAAAGCCCTACAGAAAGCAAGAGCCAAGGCTGCCTGGATCTGAATCCCAGCCCTGGCACTCACTAACTGTGCAACCCTGGGAAAGTCACTTAACCTCTCTGAGCCTCGATTTTCTTTTCTTTTCTTTTTTTTTGAGAGGGAGTCTCACTCTGTTGCCCAAGCTAGGCTGGAGTGCAGTGTCGCGATCTCGGCTCACTGCAAGCTCCACCTCCCGGGTTCACGCCATTCTCCTGCCTCAGCCTCCCAAGTAGCCGGGACTACAGGCGCCTGCCACCACGCCCGGCTAATTTTTTGTATTTTTAGCAGACGGGGTTTCACCGTGTTAGCCAGGATGGTCTCGATCTTCTGACCTCGTGATCCGCCCGCCTCAGCCTCCCAAAGTGCTGGGATTACAGGTGTGAGCCACCGCGCCCGGCCTGAGCCTCGACTTTCTTATCCGTAAAATAGGGATATAATAGTAGTTCATAGGATTTTTTTTTTTTTTTTCTCCAAACAGAGTCGTGCTCTTTTGCCCAGGCTGGAGCCCAGTGATGCGATCTCGGCTGACTGCAACCTCCACTCCCGGGTTCAAGTGATCCTCCTGCCTCAGCCTCCCGAGTACCTGGGATTACAGGCATGCGCCACCACACCTTGCTACTTTTTTGTACTTTTGGTAGAGACGGGGTTTCACCATGTCGGCCAGGCTGGTCTCGAACTCCCAACCTCAGGTGACCCACCTGCCTGCCTCAGCCTCCCAAAGTGTTGGGATTACATGTGTGAGCCACCACACCCAGCCAATTCATAGAATTATTTTAACAATTAAATGAGAGCTGGCACATGGTAACCACCTCCCAAAACACTGCTATTACCACCTAGCCAGGTATTAGAAACCAGCCGCAGGACAGGCACAGTGGCTCACGCCTGTAATCTCAATACTTGTGGAGGCTGCGGTGGGAGGACTGCTTGAGGCCAGGAGTTCGAGAGCAGCCAGGCAACACAGAGAAACCCCACCTCTATAAAAAAAATTTGTTTAATTAGCTGGGGGGTGGTGGTGCACACCTGTAGTTCTAGCTACTTGGGAGTCTGGTGGGGAAGGATCGCTGGAGCCCAGGAGTTTGAGGTGGTGGTGAGCTATGACTGCCCCATGGCCCTCCAGTCTGGGCACCAGAGCAAGACCTTGTCTCTAAAAAAAATAAAATCAGGCCGGGCCCAGTGGCTCATGCCTGTAATCCCAGCACTTTGGGAAATTGAGGCGGGTGGATCACCTGAGGTCAGGAGTTGGAGACCAGCCTGGCCAACATGGTGAAACCCCATCTCTACTGAAAATACAAAAATTAGCTGGGCGTGGTGGCACGTGCCTGTAATCCCAGCTACTTGGGAGGCTGAGGCAGGAGAATCACTTGAACCCGGGTGGCGGAGGTTGCAGTGAGCTGAGATCGTGCCACTGCACTCCAGCCTGGGCAATAGAGTGAGACTCTAACTCAATAATAATAATAATAATAATAATAATAATAATAATAATAATAATAAAATTAAAATTAGTACCAACCACCACCATCAGTGGTCAAAATGGTAAATTTTGTTATGCGTATTTTACTATGGTTAAAATAAAAGCATTAAAAAAAGCAATCGCCAGCCATCATGCCTGCTGGCCCCACATCCTCACACCCAAGCAGAGGCTTCTCCTTCATGCCCTGCTCTGGGGACATGCAGAGGGGTGGTGGCTGCCCTCCCAGGGCACACTCAGGCCCTTCTGAGAACACAGCGCACGACCTGACATACAGAGCAGGCTTCCCAGAAGCGACGGGCCCAGCCCTGGTGCAGGCTGGGTGGCCAGTACACCCTGGGGCTGTCTCCTCCCCAGCCCCAGGGCTGACACACCAGCTGCCCCCAGTTCCTGGAGACCTGTGGACCCGAGGTCACCAGGGGCATGCTCCGGGCCAGACACCCGCTGCTCCTCACCTGGGCCTTGCAAGTCACCCCCATGCAAAGGAGCCAGCTTATCAGATCTGGGCCAGGAGCAGCGGGCAGTGGGCACACAACCATGGTCAACCCATGAGGGCTGGAGGGACAGGGGTAGGGAGATGGCGGATACCTATGGCAGTCATTCCATCAAGGACAGTGACTCTTTATAAGGTGTTTGCTATATATGTGGCAGGCTCAGAGCGGCAAGCCTAATGTTGAAGTTTCTCCATTAGCCGCACACTAGCCTGGCCCCCAGCAGGCAGGGAATTCCTGTCCTCACCCCTCCTGCCCTAGGTAGGGGTGTGGACTCCTTCCTTCCCCACCGCTCTCCTTTTACAGTCTGCCTGGCTTGAACCCTGACTCCCCTGCCCTTGATTGGGCTGTATGACTCTGGCAAGCTTTCAACTTTCTGTGCCTCTGTTTTCACATCTGTAAAATGGGAATAATGGGACAAGCCTCGAAGGCTTCTTCTGAGGATTAAGAGAGTCAATCCATGTAAAACAGGTAGTGTCCGGCACACAACAAACCCTCAATAAAAGTGAGCTTCATTATTACTCAGTTTAGGAACCTCATCCCCACCCCACAGTCTCTTTACAACATCCTCCAGAGGGGCACACTCAGGCATAAAGAACGCCAGGCCAAACTGGCAAACCCATGTTCCAGCTCCTTAACTGCCTGTTTACCGGTAACCTTGGCCAAGACCCTCCTCAACACCCATAAAAAAAGGGGCTGCAGCGAGATGAAGGTCACAATCTGGATCTGACTTGGGGTCGGACATCTCTGAGAATCTGAAGATGGTGGACACTCTCCTTAAAACAGCCAAGTATCATTTATTCACAGGACTTTTCTGACAATTTCAACAGGATTCACAGGCTTTTGTCTAAGAATGCCCACAGTGGATGGCAGTATGTACTTCTCAGTCCAGGCGTTTACAAAACATTTCAAGCTCATATAAATTTGGGGCAATGCCATCAGGATTTCTACCGTGTTTAAGATCTTTGGTGGCCGAAAGCCAGCCCTGAGAATTCTGAGTCCATGCGGGTGAGGGTATCTCAGCACATGTGGGTGCTGGACACAAGACGTGGGGTAGGTCACCAGGGCACGGCAGATGGAGGGCCACATCCTGCAGCTCCCTTGTCTCTGCCCCCAGGCCTGCCCACACCTGGAAGAGGGGAGCCCCCTCCAGCAGCCAGTGTCTCCTGCCACCTCCCCACCCCCAGCACTTCCTCTTCCTGCTCTGGCCTGCCACCCCGGAACCTGAAACCCAAGACAGGACAAGCAGCAGCGGCTGTTGCTGAGCTGCCCCAGGTCCACTGCTACTGATCCACTCACTGGAAACGTCTGGAGCCTTTAGGTGGCTCAGGCCCTGAGCTGGCCGCTGGGGTGTGTATGGGGGGCCTGTATACAGGTCTGCAGTCCCATTCTGCTCCCTACTTGGTGCCTCGCCTGTGCCCCAGCCACCCCCGAGGTAGTGTCTCTCCCCCTCTATGCAGTCAGGACCACAGAACAAACCACACAGCTGGCTGCAAACTGGCTCCTCCACTTACAAAGCTGTTGACCTTGGATAAGGATCTCAACCTCTCTGTGCCACAGCTTCCACACCTATAAAATAGAGGCTGACAGGGGCAGTGGCTCATGCCTGTAATCCCAGCACACTGGGAAGCTGAGGAGGGTGGATCACTTGAGGCCAGGAGTTCAAGACCAGCCTGGCCAACATGGTGAAACCCTGTCTCTACTAAAAATACAAAAATTAGTCAGGGGTGGGCCAGGTGTGGTGGCTCATGCCTGTAATCCCAGCACTTTGGGAGGCCGAAGCAGGCAGATAACTTGAGGTTAGGAGTTCAAGATCAGCCGGGCCAACATGGTGACACCCTGCCTCTACTTAAAATACAAAAAAATTAGCTGAGTGTGGTGGCACACACCTGTAATCCCAGAAAATTGGGAGGCTGAGCCATGAGAATCGCTTGAACCTGGACATGGAGGTTGCAGTGAACCGAAATCATGCCACTATACTCCGGTGTGGGCAACAGAGTGAGACTCCATCTCAAAAAAAAAAAAAAAATTAGCTGGGGTGTGGTGGTGGGCACCTGTAATCCCAGCTAATTGGGAGGCTGAGGCAGGAGAATCGCTTGAACCCGGGAGGCAGAGGTTGCAGTGAGCCAAGATAGTGCCACTACACTCCAGTCTTGGTGACAGAGCATGGTCTGTCTCAAAAAAAAAAAAAAAAAAGAGAATCCCACGAGTTACTAATACCATTATTCTTCTTTTACAAACGAGGAAACTGAGGCTCAGAAAGGTGATGTCAGCTGTCCAAAGGGTTACTCTGCTGCTGGATTCAAAACCAAGTCCACTTGGCTCCACAGCCCGGGTATGAAGGGGGCAAAGGAGCACCTCCCTCACATGGTGGCTGAGATTAAATGTAGTTTTCATATGTAGATGTTTAGCATAGGGCCAGCTACAGCAGCTCAATAAATCTTGGTTAAAAAGAAAAACACAGGGCCGGGCGCGGTGGCTCACGTATGCAATCCCAGCACTTTGGGAGGCCGAGGTGGGTGGATCACGAGGTCAAGAGCTCGAGACCAGCCTGGCCAATATGGTGAAACCCCGTCTCTACTAAAAATACAAAAATTAGCTGGGCGTGGTAATGCGTGCCTATAGTCCCAGCTGCTCAGGAGGCTGAGGCAGGAGAATCGCTTGAACCCAGGAGGTGGAGGTTGCAGTGAACCAAGATCGCGCCATTGCACTCCAGCCAGGGCAACAAGAGCGAAACTCTGTCTAAAAAAAAAAAAAAAAAAAAAAAGAAAGAAAGAAAGAAAGAAAAACACATAAAGCAGGCACACACCTGTAATCCAGCAATTTAGGGAGCTGATGTAGGAGGATCACTTGAGTCCAGGAATTCGAGATCTCCCTGGGCAACACAGTGAGACCTCATCTCTACAAAATCAAAAAATTAGCTGGGTGTAGTGAGTATACCTGTAGTCCTAGCTACTCAGAAGGCTGAGGTGAGAGAATCCCTTGAGCCCAGGAGGTTGAGGCTACAATGAGCCGTGATTGCGCTACTGCACCCCAGCCTGGGCAACAAAGTGAGACCCTATCTCACACACACACACAGACACACACACACACACAAAGAAAAAAAAATTAGCTGGATATAGTGGGCATGACTGTAGCCCCAGCTACTTTTTGTTTTTTGAGATGGAGTCTCACTCTGTCACCCAGGCTGGAGTGCGCTGGCACAATTTGGCTCACTGCAACCTCCCCCTCCCGGGTTCAAGCGATTCTCCTGCCTCAGCCTCCTGAGTAGCTGGGATTACAGGCGCCCGCCACTATGCCCAGCTAACTTTTGTATTTTTAGTAGAGACGGGGTTTCACCTTGTTGCTCAGGCTGGTCTTGAACTCCCGACCTCAGATGATCTCCCCACCTCAGCCTCACAAAGTGCTGGGATTACAGGTGTGAGCCACCGCACCTGGCCAGTCCCAGCTACTTGAGAGGCTAAGGCAGGAGGATCCCTTGAGCCCAGGAGTTCAAGGCTGCAGTGAGCTATGATCCCATCACTGCACTACAACCTGGGCAACAGAGCAGGACTCTATCTCTAAAAAAAAGAAAAGAAAAGAAAAAAGGAGAAAAACAGAGCTTGAAGTGGATGGAAGAGAAATAGTGCCTGGATACCCTCAGCTCAGACTGGAGACAGGGACCCCACATACCCACCTTCCAACCCCGACTCGGGGCCTCGCTTGCTATATTTAGAGGCAGCTCCAGCTCCAAACCTCGGCCACAAGGATGTGTACCCCACGCCACACCTGGCCTGATGGCCACCTCCACAGGACAGAGACCACCACATTCCACACCATTTGTCACACCCACAGGCTCCAGGGCCAGAAAGCAGTGCAGCTGTTGGGACGCACACGGCCCGGGGACACCCACACTCGCCAGCCCTGAGGTTTTGGGCTGGGGAGAGGGGAGAGGCTGGGCTCTCCGAGGAAGAGGAAAGGGCCTGCTGCCCTGCTCCGGAAGAAAGCCCATTACCCTCACCAGACCCTACGATTCCTGGAACTCCGTCCACTTAGGCAGGCTGTATGTGCCCACACTTGGAACCAAGTTCAATGCCACAGGGTTCAGGGGGCCGTGTAAAAGAATGATTCAAAGTGAGAAGAAAGGCCCTCTCCCTCTCCCTCTCCCTCCCCCTCCCTCTCCCCACAGTCTCCCTCTCCCTCTCTTTCCACAGTCTCCCTCTGATGCCGAGCCGAAGCTGGACTGTACTGCTGCCATCTCAGCTCACTGCAGCCTCCCTGCCTGATTCTCCTGCCTCAGCCTGCCGAGTGCCTGCGATTGCAGGCGTGCGCCGCCACGCCTGACTGGTTTTCGTATCTTTTGGGTGGAGACGGGGTTTCGCTGTGTTGGCCGGGCTGGTCTCCAGCTCCTAACCGCGAGTGATCCGCCAGCCTCGGCCTCCCGAGGTGCCGGGATTGCAGACGGAGTCTCCTTCACTCAGTGCTCAATGGTGCCCAGGCTGGAGTGCAGTGGCGTGATCTCGGCTCGCTACAACATCCACCTCCCAGCCGCCTGCCTTGGCCTCCCAAAGTGCCGAGATTGCAGCCTCTGCCCGGCCAGCCGCCCCGTCCGGGAGGTGCGGGGCGCCTCTGCCTGGCCGCCCCTACTGGGAAGTGAGGAGCCCCTCTGCCCGGCCACCACCCCGTCTGGGAGGTGTACCCAACAGCTCATTGAGAACGGGCCATGATGACAATGGCGGTTTTGTGGAATAGAAAGGCGGGAAAGGTGGGGAAAAGATTGAGAAATCGGATGATTGCCGTGTCTGTGTAGAAAGAGGTAGACGTGGGAGACTTTTCATTTTGTTCTGTACTAAGAAAAATTCTTCTGCCTTGGGATCCTGTTGATCTGTGACCTTACCCCCAACCCTGTGCTCTCTGAAACATGTGCTGTGTCCACTCAGGGTTAAACGGATTAAGGGCGGTGCAAGATGTGCTTTGTTAAACAGATGCTTGAAGGCAGCATGCTCGTTAAGAGTCATCACCACTCCCTAATCTCAAGTACCCAGGGACACAAACACTGCGGAAGGCCGCAGGGTCCTCTGCCTAGGAAAACCAGAGACCTTTGTTCACTTGTTTATCTGCTGACCTTCCCTCCACTATTGTCCCATGACCCTGCCAAATCCCCCTCTGCGAGAAACACCCAAGAATGATCAATAAATAAATAAATAAATAAATAAATAAATAAATAAAGTTCTAAGAAACAAACAAAAAAAATTTTAATAAAATCTTGCAACTGGGAAAAAAAAAAGTGAGAAGAAAGGAACGGTTGGCATGTGTCATGGAGCTTGATGAAAAAGTCACAGGAATAAATGCCACCACTTTTTCCAGGATACTTCCTGCTCTGGAAATCTCCCCTTGGGTGGCAGGGGGAGGGCCAGGGGCCCTACAGATCTGGCAGCTGACTGCCAGAGCCCCAGCTGAGCCCCAGCAAGATTGGATCAGATCAGATCGCACGCAGCTTCACAAGGTAAATATAGCCCGTCAGCCCAAAATAAACAGCCCCCCGCCAGCCACTGGCCGCCTGAACCTGGCGAGGCAAGCCCTATAAGGGATAGGAAAGGCAAAAGACCACCAGCTCCACCTCACACTGGTCCATGGATCCCCCCAATAGGGTTTTGGCTAGAGATGCCAAACCTTAGCAAGGGCCAAGAAGAGGGTTACATAATTCTGCGAAGGGCAAGGCCTGGCTGGCCCTGACGGACCATACCAGCCGTCAGCCCACCTCGCCTGATTGCCAGCTATCTCTCCTGGCTCCTGCTGGGCTCCATGGAGACCCTGGGCACCTGGCGCCTGCAAGTCCAGGCCCTCTGAGGCAGCCCTCCCATGCTGGGCCTGACCTCAGGTCCCACAGCCTTCCTTCCCCTGGCCTAGTTCTTTTCTTGTCCACCCTTTTAGGAGGGTGGGTGGCTGCAGCCTGGAACATGAGGCCCTCTAGGCCGCAACCATGCAGGGTCACCCGGAGCTGTCTGAGCCTGCCGGCCCCACCTCAAATGCAAACCATCTCTTAAGAGGGTATTGAGGCCTAGTGTGCAGTGGTTTACAAAGTCTTGACCATGACAGTCCAGGACTCCAAATGTTTCTATAAATAGACACACACGCGTTTATAACAGAAACAAAAGTTTAACCAATCAACATTTAGCCTTACAGCACATCAGTAAGGTCTTGCAAGATGCAATGCGTGCTGCGACTTTGTTTCATTTCACCCTTATCTCATTCTAAAAAGGACCAGGAGCTTGGTACCAAAGTTATCAAAAGAAAGAAACAACAAAATGTGTTGGTTGCAACTTAGTAAATTTGTTACAAGCCATGAATAGGCTGAATTTGCATACAGGGTCAGCGGGACACAGACCCAGACTTTCTCTTCAACTGGCTCCCAGCCAGAAAGACCAGAGCTGGAATTCTACTAGCTGGAGAATCTTAACTTCTAGGAGCCTTAGTTTTCCTGTTTACAGTACATACTTTTAAGAGCTATGGTGAGGATTCAGTAAGAATGAAAGAAAAGCGTTCAGGCTCATGCCTGGCACAACAGGGTTTCAGTAAACAGTAATCACAACCACCACCACCGTCATCATAGAATTCATCATGTAACTCCTGTCTAAAACCTTCAATGGCTCCCTGTTGCCTATCCAAGAGTTCAAATTTCCCACCCAATCAAGGCCCTCCATCATCTTGCCTGGCTAAATTCACCGTTCTCTACTACTTCCTGAAGACCCTCAACCCCAACCACAGCCCCTGTACCTTTCCCCTAGGCCCTGTAATTTCTCTTCTTTAACTGTTCCTGCCATTTCCTTTGACTTGAAGGCTTTCTCAAGTCCTAACTCCACCACACTCAAGGCTCGGCAAGAACCAGATTCTTCTCAGTTAACCCTTAGCAGCCCTAACACAATGGAAAAAAGGGTAAGCAAGTTTCTGGGATACTCGGGTCAGATACTGTAAGTGCTCTGCAAAAATTTTTTTTTTTTTTTTTTTTGAGATGGAGTCTCACTCTGTTGCCCAGGCTGGAGTGCAGTGGTGCAACCTCTGCTCATTGCAACCTCCGCCTCCCAGGTTCAAGCAATTCTTCTGCCTCAGCCTCCCGAGTAGCTGGAATTACAGGTATGCACAACTACACCCGGCTAATTTTTGTATTTTTAGTAGAGATGGGGTTTCACCATGTTGGCCAGGCTGGTCTTGAACTCCTGACCTCAGGTGATTCGCCCACTTCGGCCTCCCAAAGTGCTGGGATTACAAGCGTGAGCCAATGCGCCCGGCCGTACTCCATTTTAAAGATGAAGAAACTGAGGCCCAGAAAGGTTAAATGACTTGCCTAAGGTCTTGCCCTTATAAGAGGTAGAGCTGGGATTTGAACCAAGTTGTCTTGCTCAAGTGTCTGTTCTGACCTTACCCTGCTTGAGCTTCTCAGCTCTGTTCCCCTACACTCTCTGATGCTTTCTCTCCCACAGCAATGGCGCTACACCACAGCCACAGGGCTCTGCAGCTTCCCAGCCAGGTGACCATGCGCAAGTCTTTCCTCTCAATGACCATCACCTATACTCACCTGGTTTATAGGAGGATCACACAAGATGCTACGTGGGGCACCATCTAGCCTATTGCAAGAGCCCAATCAACAACAGCAATAATAATTACTATCAGTGATCAGTACTAGGAATAGTAATAGCAATTTCTTGCTCATTTACATGGTCCCTGAACTCTGAACACGTCACAGAGGCTCAGTGTCTTATGACTTGAGTCGTTCCTTCCAACTCATTTTCATAGAAATTACAGGAAACTTCTGAACCAGCTCTAGAACTTGGGAACAAAAGGGTGCTGGCGGGCAGAGAACTGAGGAGGCAGATAATCCAAAAATAATTGATCCCAGGTCATGGAAAGCATTTTGTTTACGGCAGCAGACTGACCTTCCCAATTATCTTCAGCTCAGGCTAATGTTACAGCCTGCCTTCCCCAGCAGACAAGATCACCACATATGCTCGCCAGTCCTGCAGGGGACGGGGTCAGGCTGAGGCTGGCTGCCTCTCAATGAAGTATAAACTGAGGCACAGAGGACCTGAATCAAAGCCCACAAGAGTACTCTGGGCTTAAGGAGCTCTACGGGATGCTGATCCTATGCTATATCCAGGCCCCCTTGCTTTGTATCTCTCATTAGAGTTTGGAGGATGGTGCGCCTGAGGCCTGCTGTTCCTAGAACTGCCGTGTGGAGCAAGAATCTCATCTGCAGATCAGAGAGGGTCCGGGCAAGGTGTGCATCATCAGACCCTGAAAATTCCTGTGTTTCATGGGCCCAGTCTGGCCTCATAATGAACCTTCATATGAGTCCATGGGAGAGCAGGATACCTGCCATCTCCATACACATTAAAAAACTGGCTTCAGCCAGGCATGGTGGCTCACACCTGTAATCCCAGCACTTTGGGAGGCCGAGGCGGGTGGATCACCTGAGATCAGGAGTTTGAGACCACCCTGGCCAACATGGTGAAACCCCGTCTCTACTAAAAATACAAAAATTAGCCAGGTGAGGTGGTGTGTGCCTGTAATCCCAGCTATTCGGGAGGCTGAGGCAGGAGAATCGCTTGAACCTGGGAGGTGGAGGTTGCAGTGAGCTGAGATTGTGCTACTGCACTCCAGCCTGGGCAACAAAGAGGAAACTCCGTCTCAAAAAAAAAGAAAAGAAAAGAAAAGAAAACTGGCTTCAAAGAAGTAAAGCCTCTTGCCTGAGGTCACCCACCAGCCATCCCCAACACTTCCCGGCCACCTGGCCAGGCTGTTCTACCCATGAAGTGGGGAACCTCTCAATCCCCTCCAGGATTTGTGGGAGACCCTCCCTCAATCTCACCTGGTTGACCCCATCCCTTGGCAATCAAAGGTCAAGTCAGCTCCTCTGACTTTCCAGGTCTCTGGGAAGGAAGCCCTCTGGGGGCAGGAAGTTGGTTGTGCTGACTCATAAGCCAAGGGAGAGTAATCCAGGAAACTTGTCACTCTGTTACCATGGCGTTGGGGCTGCTGGCACCCTCTCCTCTCCCAAGCTCACTTACAGGCTGGGTGTCTAAGTGGGAGTGGGGCATGGTCAGACCCTGCACCCAATCCCATCCCTCCTATAGATTTCCAACTTCATGGCACATGCAGTTACCTTCTTGTAACTGCAGAATGGAGAGTATCATGGGGTTCGGTCCTTCCCTGCCTGCAGAACTTTGGGGATTCCATCAGTAGTGCCAGGAAGCCTTCTCCACCCAGGTGGGGGAAAATAAAAGTCCCCAAGAGACAGACTGGGTGGGCCAAGGCCCACTCCATGCCACTGGCTGCCCCAGTCTCCTGACTTCCCCACACTGTTTTTAGCAAGAGAAGGAGGTGACATTTGACCATGAGGCCTGTCTTCGAAAGGAAGAAGGGACTTGAGAAGGCAGGAAAGTGTCATTCATCTGGATCTCACCCCTCAGGAGTGAGAAGGAGCCTGGGGCAGCTATAAACTCATGACCACAAGAAAAGGGGGAACCATTATCTTAAATACCAAGCGCTGCAGGGAAAAGCTGACAACTGGTAGCTCCCTCCCCACCACCAATTATAAAACTTTCTTTGGCTTAAAAGAAACTCTTTTGCGGCCGGGCGCCGGTGGCTCACGCCTCTAATCCCAGCACTTTGGGAGGCCGAGGCGGGTGGATCATGAGGTCAGGAGATCGAGACGATCCTCGCTAACACGGTGAAACCCCGTCTCTACTAAAAAAATACAAAAAAAATTAGCCAGGCGTGGTTGTGGGCGCCTGTAGTCCCAGCTACTCCAGAGGCTGAGGCAGCAGAATGGCGTGAACCCAGGAGTCAGAGCTTGCAGTGAGCCAAGATCGCACCACTGCACTCCAGCCTGGGTGACAGAGCAAGACTCCGTCTCAAAAAAAAAAAAAAAAAAAAAGAAACTCTTTTGCCCTATTTCTCATTTCCTAGTGTCCTAACACATCCCTGGCTGGACATCAATCAGAGTTCCTATACACCGCAATGGGTACAAGTGCCTGAGCAAGTTCTGAACACCAGCAGAGCTGGGTTCAAATCCCGCTCCACCAGACTGGCTGTGCGGTCTTGGGAGAGCCCTTTGACAAAATCACCACAGAGGGTTGTTGAGTAAGCCCAGGAGTTAAGGCACCTAGCACTGAGTGAGTGTTCAGTAAATGCCAGCTGCTTTTAGAGATTCTTCAGGCAGCAGGCAGAACCTGGTCTCTTAGGATTTGAAATTAACAGAGCAGAAGTCCGTCCTGTCTAAACTAAAAATGAGAGTGCCGTCTGTTTATGCAAACACACTCCCTGATCTCCTTTCAGGGGCTCCCTCAATTTTATTCTCAAAGTCAGAGAAACTTTTGAGTAGCAGCCTTCTTTGATCAATTCAGGAATTGAGGCCCGGACAGGGAGAGTGAGTTGCTTGAGGTCACACAGGCAGCAAGTAACTGAGCAGGGAAGGCTGCTTCCCACTCCCCATCTCCCGGCCTTTCCACTGTGGCCCAGCGTGCTCTGGGCCTTAAAAAATTCAGGCTCTGCTGCAAGGCAAAGCAGGGAGAGTTTCAGACACACTCCCTTCCCAAGAAAACACGAAGGGTGCAGCCACTCCCTCCCTCAAGGCCAAGGGCTTAGCTCACTGGTGGCGGGGGCAGGAGTGCTCTGGTCTACAGAACTGAGGGGCGGGGAGCAGAGTCCATTCATGGCAGGCTGATATCACCGAGTGGTAATAATGTAGTTATTATGTAGTCCCCTGCAACGGAGAAACTTCAATATGCCAAGCCTGAGGGTATCCCCAGAGCCACTTCTCAGGCCCATCCGCAGCCTCACCCACCCCACACCTCAGAGGCTTTGCACTCCAGCTCTTTGGGATGGTGGGGAAAGGAAAGCATGCCTATGCCCTAGATCAAGAAAGAGCCCATTGGGCCGGGTGTGGTAGCTCACGCCTGTAATCCCAGCACTTTGGGAGGCCGAGATTTGGCAGATCACGAGGTCGAGAGTTAAAGATCAGCCTGGCCAACAGGGTGAAACCCCGTCTCTACTAAGAACACAAAAATTAGCCGGGCGTGGTGGCGCGAGCCTGTAATCCCAGCTACTCGGGAGGCTGAGGCATGAGAATCGCTTGAACTCAGGAGGTGGAAATTTCAGTGAGCCGAGATTGCACCACTGCACTCCAGCCTGGGCGACAGAGCGAGACTCCGTCTTGGAACAAATAAAAAATAAAGAGCCCATTCAACGGGAACATGTCCCTCCCTCCTCCCTCACACGCAGTGACTCAGTGGCAAGTTTCTGGAGAAAAAACTGAGGGGGACTGGTTGTCAAACCCCCAGGCTGAGGCTCTCGGAAAATGCGGTGGAAAAGGGGTGTCAGGAAATCCCCTCTAGGAGCTGATAAAAGAACACGGCTAACAACTTCCGGCCTCGGGTGCCGGGGCACAAGACAGCGCAAGGTCTTTCTCCTTGTCCCCACCTCCTGACGCCCCCAGCTGGGTTAGAGCTTCTGAGTCCCTCCTTTCGCTCCTGAACGCACATGGGGCGGGCTTCTTACAGAGCTAACTTCGGGATGCATCTACCACTCTTGCTGGGGCAGGCATGGCCATGTGGAGGCACCCAAGCACCCCGAGCCCGGACTCTGATATGGCTTGTCACCACCCCAGATCGGAGTACTCGGCGCCCACCAGTGCTCACGTCCAGCACCTCTGCCCCCCGCGCAGCGCTCACCACGGTTTCTCCCAGCTCTTCCCCTCACTCTGGCCCGCCCGGCCCGCCCAGAGAGCCCCGTCGGGGCTGCGGGCGGGAGCAGCCGGGACAGTAGAGGGGGCAGGGCAGGGCGGCCGGAGCTCACCATGGCGAAGCCGGAGAGCAGAGCCGAGGTCCGGCTGGAGGCTTTAAGCTTGGCGCGGCTCAAGTAGAGCTTGCGCCAGGACAGCGCCTGCATGGAGTGCTCGTTGAGGCTCATCACCTCGGAGTAACTCTGGCCGATCCAGTCCGGGTAGGTGACGGCGGACGGCGGCGGTGGCGGGGCCCCCGGGGGCTCCCCGTCCCCGCTGCGGCGGCGGCTCCGGCGGCTGCCGCTGGTGGTGCTGCCGCCGCTTGGGGGAAGCTCGGGACTGCTGCGGCTCGGGGGCGGGGCGGGCTCCGGATGCATGGAGCACGCCGCCGAGGCGCGGGCCGGCCCGGGCGCCGCGAGGCACCTCCGCCGGAGGCAGCCGCCGACTGCCCCCTACGCGGGCCCGGCCTCACCCGGCCGGCCGCACAGGACGAGGAGGACGAGGTCGAAGAAGTGCCCGCTGCCCCAGCACGCAGGCCCGCGGCGCCGCTGGCAAAAGCCCCCGGGCGGCAGTGACCAGAGACTGCGCGCGGGCGGCGCCTCGGATCCCCGGGGCCTGGACCCCCGGCGCGCGCCGCGATTGGCCGCCGCCCTGGGCTGTTTTGCATGCTCCCCGCCCACCTGTGCCCCGCCCACCAAGAAGTGGGCGTTGTTGTGGGCGTCACGTGACCCGCCCGCTCCGACGGCACCGCCCACGGTCCCTGGCGCGCCGCCGCCCGCCACTTTTCCTGGAAGCGCCCGGCTGCCCGCTCCGGCTCCTGGCGCCGCCCCTCTCCGCAGCTGCTCCCGTGGCCCTGCTCCTGGAGCTTGGACTCCTGGGTCGGGCCGCCTGAGGTCACCTCTGGGCGCCTCCTGAGGCCCATATCCCCTTTGGAACAAGGTGGCTCAAGGTCTGTAGGAAAAAGAGCGGCTGACGTCTGGAGTTCAAGCAGTGTTTATTTGGCGCCCACTGGGTGCCAACACTGGTCTAGGTGCTGAGGCTGGGTAGGGTGGTGAACGAGATGGACAAAACCTGTCTGTTAACCACTTTGTCCACCTGTGTTCACCAGCATCTGATACGTATTGAGGTGACCGGTTCCTGATTTATTATTTTTTTATTACTGGGTTCAAGCAATTCTCCTGCCTCAGCCTCCCGAGTAGCTAGGATTACAGGCTCCCGCCACCATGCCCTGCTAATTTTTGTATTTTTAGTAGAGATGGGGTTTCACCATATTGGCCAGGCTGGTCTCAAACTCCTGACCTTGTGATCCGCCCGCCTCGGCCTCCCAGAGTGCTGGGATTACAAGCGTGAGCCACCGTGCCCGGCCACCTGATATTTTTTAAACCAGTGAATCTTCAAACCTATTCAGCAAGTGTCTTCTGAGCAACTATTACGTGCTACGCTGAGGGATTCCAGGAAAATGATAACCTTCATTGAATATTTTATATATATATATACACACACACATATATACACATATATATGTATATATATGTGTGTGTGTGTGTATATATATATATATATATATATATATATATATTTTTTTTTTTTTTTTTTTTTTGAGACAGGGTTTTGCTCTTGTCGCCCAGGCTGGAGGAGTGCAATGGCGCGATCTTGGCTCACTGCAACCTCCACCTCCCGGTTCAAGCGATTCTCCTGCCTCAGCCTGCTGCGTAGCTGGGATTACAGGCGCCCGCCACCACACCTGGCTAATTTTTGTATTTTTAGTAGAGACGGGGTTTTGCCATGTTGGCCAGGCTAGCCTGGAACTCCTGACGTCAGGAGATCCGCCCGCCTCGGCCTCACAAAGTGCTGCGATTACAGGCATGAGCCTCCATGCCCGGCCCGAATATTATATTTTAGTGGAGTGTGGAGAGGGGCAGGAAATAAGTGAGATCACACCTTTCTGACTTAGGTCACATTTAAGCTGAGACCAGAGCCCGCCATGCAAACAGACAGGATCTAGCTTTCCAGGACGGCGAGGGAACTGCTCATGCCAAGACCTTTAAGCAGGGATATTTGGCTGTTGGAGCGTTGGAAGGCCAATTTTGGGGAGCAGAGGTGAGGTGGGGGTGTATGCAGGACTGTGCTAGGGAATGTCTCCTAGGAGGTAAACTCCGGGGCAGGGACCTTTACTATCAGCTTCACAGCTCTACCCTCAGCATCTAGAATATTCCTCGGCATACAATCGGTCCTCAGTAATTTTTTGTTGAATGAATAACTATGGGAGAGACAGGAATGAGTGACGAGCATGTGACATTGCCGGTTGGCGGGGTGAAACGTAACTCTTGTCACCACTAGAGGGCGCGCCCCCACCCAACCGTTGTGGGATGAAAACCTCTGCCCCCAAGAAGTCTCTGGTTCCCGCAGAGCCCTTTCTTGGCTTTTTTTTTAAAATTTAATTTTATTATTATTATACTTTAAGTTTTAGGGTACATGTGCACAATGTGCAGGTTAGTTACATATGTATACATGTGCCATGTTGGTGTGCTGCACCCATTAACTCGTCATTTAGCATTAGGTATATCTCCTAATGCTATCCCTCCCCCCTTTCCCCACCCCACAACAGTCCCCGGAGTGTGATGTTCCCCTTCCTGTGTCCATGTGTTCTCATTGTTCAATTCCCACCTATGAGTGAGAACATGCGGTGTTTGGTTTTTTGTCCTTTTCTTGGCTTTTTTAAAATAAAGATGGGGGCCGGGCGCGGTGACTCACGCCTATAATCCCAACACTTTGGGAGGCCGAGGCAGGCAGATCACAAGGTCAGTAGTTCCAGACCAGCCTAGCCAACATGGTGAAACCCTGTCTCTACTAAAAAAATTAGTCAGGTGACTCCCTAGTCCCAGTTACCAGGGAGGCTGAGGCAGGAGAATCGTTTGAACTTGGGAGGCGGAGCTTGCAGTGAGCCGAGATCGAGCCACTGCACTCCAGCCTGAGCGACAGAGCGAGAGTCCCTCTCAAAAAAAAAAAAAAAAATTGGGGAATTTGGAATTTGAAATCTCACCCTACTGGCTTTGTTTCCCTGGTGGCCTTTGTACTTTTTTTTTTTTTTTTTTGAGACGGAGTCTCACTCTGTCACCAGGCTGGAGTGCAGTGGAGCGATCTCGGCTCACTGCAACCTCCGCCTCCCGGGTTCAAGCAATTCTCCTGCTTCAGCCTGCCGAGTAGCTGGGACTACAGGCGCGCGCCACCACGCCCAGCTATTTTTGGTATTTTTAGTAGAGACGGGGTTTCACCATATGGACCAGGATGGTCTCGATCTCTTGACCTGGTGATCCACCCGCCTCAGCCTCCCAAAGTGCTGGGATTACAGGCGTGACGCACCGCGCCATGGCCCGCCTTTGTACTTCTTACCCCTTTCACTCAACATTTGTGTCTCAGCTCAAATAGCACCTCCTGAGAGACCTTCCCTCTATTGAAGTAGCCCCGGTGTCACAATCTGTCACCTCATCCTGATTTCTTCCCTTTATAGCTGTGATCACTACAGCATCTGAAATCATCTAGCTTATTTAGTTGACCTGTTCATCTGTTTAAGCATTAAAAAAAAAAAAAAGTGTGGCCAGGCGCGGTGGCTCACACCTGTTATCCCAACACTTTGGAAGGCCCAAGCGGGTGGATCACCTAAGGTCAGGAGTTCGAGACCAGCCTGGCTAACATGGTGAAACCCCCATCTCTACTAAAAATACAAAAAAAATTAGCCAGGTATGATGGGGCACGCCTATAATCCTAGCAACTGGGGAAGCTGAGGTAGGATAATTGCTTGAACGCAGGAGGCAGAGGTTGCAGTGAGCTGAGATCAGGCTGCTGCACTCAAGCCTGGGCGACAGAGGGAGACTCCGTCTCCAATAAAAAATAATAGTGACAGCGTCTCCCCATGTTGAGCATGCTGGTCTCAAACTCCTGGGCTCAAGGGATCCTCCCATCTGGGCCTCCCAAAGTTCTGGAATTACAAGCATGAGCCACTGTGTCCAGCCTATTCAAACATTTTATTTTATTTTATTATTATTTTAGGACAGAGTCTCTCTCTGTTCCCCAGGCTGCAGTGCAGTGGCTCGATCTCGGCTCACTGCAACCTCCGCCTCCTGGGTTCAACCGATTATTCTGGCTCAGCCTCCTAAATAACTGGGATTACAGGTGTCCATCACCACACCCAGCTAATTTTTTGTATTTTTAGTAGAGTCAGGGTTTCACCATGTTGGCCAGGCTGGTCTCGAACTCCTGACCTCAAGTGATCCACCCATCTCAGCCTCCCAAAGTGCTGGGATTACAGGTGTAAACCATTGTGCCCAACGTATTTAAACATTTTATTTTATTTTTATTTTTATTATTTTTAAGATGGAGTCTCGCTCTGTCCCCCAGGCTAGAGCGTAGTGGCTCAATCTCAGCTCACTGCAACCTCCAATTCCTAGGTTCAAGCGATTCTTCTGCCTCAGCCTCCTGAGTAACTAGGATTACAGGTGCCCACCAGCACACCCAGCTAATTTTTTATATTTTTAGTAGAGACAGGGTTTCACCATGTTGTCCAGGCTAGTCTCGAACTCCTGAACTCAGATGATCTGCCTGCCTCAGCCTCCCAGAGTGCTGGGATTACAGATGTGAGCCACTGCGCCTGGCCTTATTTATTTATTTATTTATTTATTTATTTATTTATTTATTTATTGAGACAGGGTCTCAATAGTCACCCAGGCTGGAGTGCAGTAGCACATCTCTACTTAAAAAAAAAAAAAAAAAAAAAGGCCAGGCGCGGTGGCTCACACCTATAATCCCAGCACTTTGGGAGGCTGAAACCGGCGGATCGCGAGGTCAGGAGATTGAGACCATCCTGGCTAACACGGTGAAACCCCGTCTCTACTAAAAATACAAAAAAATTAGCTGGGTGTGGTGGCGGGCGCCTGTAGTCCCAGCTACTTGGGAGGCTGAGGCAGGAGAATGGCGTGAACCCGGGAGGCGGAGCTTGCAGTAAGCCAAGATGGTGCCACTGCACTCCAGCCTGGGCGACAGAGCGAGACTCTGTCTCCAAATAAATAAATAAATAAGACTAGGCACGGTGGCTCACACCTGTAATCCCAGCACTTTGGGAGGCTGAGGTGGGCGGATCACCTGAGAGGACAGGAGTTCAAGACCAGCCTGACCAACATGGAGAAACCTCGTCTCTACTAAAAATACAAAAATTAGCTGGTGTGGTGGCGCATGCCTGTAATCCCAGCTACTTGGGAGGCTAAGGCAGGAGAACCGCCTGAACCCGGGAGGTGGAGTTTGCGATGAGATGAGATTATGCCATTGCACTCCAGCCTGGGCAATAAAAGCAATACTCTGTCTCAATAAATAAATAAATAAACCAGATGTGGTGGCGTGAGCCTGTACTCCCAGCTTCTTGGAATGAAGCTGCGGTGATCACACCACTGTCCTCCAACCTAGGCAATAAAGCGAGATCCTGTCTCAAAGAAAAAACAACTAAATAAATAAATGAATCATGGGCCAGGTGTGGTGGCTCATGCTTATAATTCCAACACTTTGGGAGGCCGAGGCGGTAGATCACTTAAGGTCAGGAGTTTGAGACCAGCCTGGCCAACATGGCGAAACTCCGTCTCCATTAAAAATACAAAAATTAGGCCGGGCACGGTGACTCACGCCTGTAATTCCAGCCCTTTCGGAGGCTGAGGCAGGTGGATCACCTGAGGTCAGGAGTTCAAGACCAGCCTGGTCAACATGGTAAAAGCCCATCTCTTCTAAAAATACAAAAATTAGCCGGGCTTGGTGGTGCATGCCTATAATCCCAGCTACTTGGGAGGCTGAGGCAGAAGAAGTGCTTGAACCCGGCAGGCAGAGGTTGGAGTGAGCAGAGATCACGCCACTGCACTGTAGCCTGGGCGACAGAGTAAGACCCTGTGTCAAAATAAGAAAAAATTAGCCGGGCGCGGTGGCTCACACCTGTAATCCCAGCACTTTAGGAGTCCAAGGCGGGCAGATCACGAGGTCTGGAGTTTGAGACCAGTCTGGCCAACATGGTGAAACCCCGTCTCTACTAAAAATACAAAAATTAGTCGAGCGTGGGGGCACACACCTGTAGTCCCAGCTACTTGGGAGGCTGAGGCAGGAAAATTGCTTGAACCCGGGAGGCAGAGGTTGCAATGAGCCGAGATCACACCACTGCACTCCAGCCTGGGTGACAGAGCTAGACTCCATCTCAAAAAAGAAAAAATTAGTTGGGTGTGGTGGCCAGGCCTGTAATCCCAGCTACTCCGGAGGCTGAGGCAGAAGAATTGCTTGAATCCAGGAGGCGAAAGTTGCAGTGAGCCGAGATCCTGCCACTGAACTCCAGCCTGGGCGACAGAGGGAGACTCAGTCTCTCAAAATCAATCAATCAATCAATCACGTCGCTATCACCCCAGGGCCTCCCACTGGCTACTGCCAATGGAAACAGGTTCAATGAACAAAACAATGCAATGTCCTTGGTTCCCAGAAACCCCCAGTTCAGGACTAGGAACACACAACATTTAGCAGCTAAGAGGGCCTGAGGTCTGGAGGGGGAAGAGGCCGGAAGCTGGGAGGAGAGATTTGCTGATTTTAGAGGAACAAAAGGATCTGGGAGTGGTGACTCAGAGGGGGCTTTGGGGTGGTGAGGGTTTCCTTTCCCCAGCTACTATGTCACGCTCCTCACCCCTCTCCTAATATTCTGTGTGGTTTGAATTTCCCCATCTGCACAGATCACAAGTAATAAAAACTTGGGTGGGGTGTCTGGACCATCCCTGCCTCCTGCCCCAGGATCCTAGAGGGGTCCATGGTTACTAACTTTTCCCCACAGTTTTTTTTTTTTTTTTGGTGGTGGGGAGACAGGGGTCTCATTGTGTTACCCAGGCTGCATTCGGACTCCTGGGCTCCACAGGCATGCACCACCAAGCCCGGCTAGAACAATGTTTTCATACCCCTGGCGATGGGAAGCTCACTCCTTCTAGAAGCTGAGCATGTCTGATTGGTTGTCTGATACTTCAAAAGTTGTCCTTGTATGGAGCTGGGGGCAGCTTCCCTGTCAGTCCTTCCTTGTGTCCTGACTCAGAATGCATGAAATCCCTCTGCCAGCCAGCCCTGGTGCCAGCTCCACAAGACATCTGGGAGGCAGCTTTTGTGAGTGATCTTGAAGGTTTTCATGGTCAAAGAATTGGGGTGAAGGAGGCTGGAAACCAAGTGAGACACTGTCAGGGGGCTGGTTACAAAATGCAGAATGGGGTCGGGTTGGTGAGCCCTGGTGTTGGTCTCAGAATGGTTCTCTGACTCTGGAGCTTAGACTATGCCAGGGGAGTGTGAACTCTGTCTCCTTGCTCTCCAGTTTCTGGGCTTATAGTGCTCATTCTTCCTCCCTCCACTCCTACCCCCTCACTGGTCAGAAGTCTTTGTTGGGTCTGAGTTTGTGCCCATGCCTTTAAAAGTGAGAACTTTTTCTGGCCTGGATAAGAAATCTTTGCTGACGACGCGGTGACTCATGCCTGTAATCCCAGCATTTTGGGAGGCTGAGGTGGACGGATCACCTGAGGTCAGGAGTTCGAGACCAGCCTGGCCAGCATGGTGAAACTGCATCTCTACTAAAAATACAAAAATTATCCGGGCATGGTGGCACATGCCTGTAATCCCAGCTATTCAAGAGGCTGAGGCACAAGAATCACTTGAACCCAAGAGGCGGAGGTTGCAGTGAGCTGAGATCACACCATTACACTCCAGCCTGGGCCATAGAGTAAGACTCTATTTAAAAAAAAAAAAAAAGAAAAAAAGAAATCTTTGCCAACCACAAGGTCACGAAGATATTCACCTGTGTTTTCTTTTAAAAGTTTTAGGCCAGGCATGGTGGCTCATGCCTATAATCTCAGCACCTGGGGAGGCCAGGTCGAGAGGATCACTTGAGACCAGGAGGTTTGAGACCAGCCTGGGCAACATAGTGGAACCCTGTCTCTACCCTCCACCCACCCCGCCAAAAATAAAAGTGTTTTTGCTTGTATGTTTAGGTCTGTGATCCGTGTCATACTGATTTTTTTCTATTTCTGTTTTTTTCTTAGAGACAAGGTCTTGCTCTGTTGCCCAGGCTGGAGTGCAGTGGCTCTTCATAGGTGTGATCATTGCACACTACAGCCTCAAATTCATGACTCAAGTGATTCTCACTCCTGCCTCAGCTTCTCAAGTAGCTGAGCCTATAGCCCATCAATCAAATACAGATTTTTGAGTGAAGCAAGCTTTCCCCACTGAAATGCATGGACATTTTTGTCAAAAATCACGTGACTACTATACATGACAGACTGTTTCTGAACTCTCTATTCTAGTCTGTGGATCTATTTGTCTACTCTCATGCCAATAGATACTGTGTTGATTACTCTAGGTTTAAAGTAAATCTTGGGGGCAGGGCGTGGTGGCTCACACCTGTAACCCCAGTACTTTGGGGGGGCCAAGGTGGGCGGATCACTTGAGGTCAGGAGTTTGAGACCAGTCTGACCAACATGGTGAAACCTCATCTCTACTAAAAATACAAAAATTAGCTGGGCATGGTGGCCCGCACCTGTAGTCCCAGCTATTTGGGAGGCTAAGGCAGGAGAACCCTTGAACCCGGGAGACGGAGGTAGCAGTGAGCCGAGGTCACGCCACTGCACTCCATACTGGGCGACAGAGTAAGACTCCGTCTCAAAAGTAAATAAATTGGCCGGGCGCAGTGGCTCATGCCTGTAATCCCAGCACTTTGGGAGGCCGAGGCGGGCCGATCACAAGGTCAGGAGATCGAGACCATCCTGGCTAACACGGTGAAACCTCATCTCTACTAAAAATACAAAAAATTAGCCAGGCGTGGTGGCAGGCGCCTGTAGTCCCAGCTACTCTGGAGGCTGAGGCAGGAGAATGGCATGAACCCGGGAGGCAGAGCTTGTAGTGAGCTGAGATCGCGCCATTGCACTCTAGCCTGGGTGACAGAGTGAGACTCCATCTCAAAAAAAAAAAAAAAAGTAAATAAATTAATAAATAAATAAATAAAAATAAAATAAGTCTTGGGGAAAAAAAACCCCATAAATTCCTCAAAATTAAAAAAAAAAAAGTCTCGGCCGGGCATGGTGGTTCACGCCTGTAATCCCAGCACTTTGGGAGGCCGAGGCGGGCGGATCACGAGGTTAGGAGTTTGAGACCAGCCTGGTCAACGCAGTGAAATCCTGTCTCTACTAAACATACAAAAATTAGCCGGATGTGGTGGCACGCACCTGTAGTCCCAGCTACTCGGGAGGCTGAGGCAGGAGAATTGCTTGAACCTGGGAGGTGGAGGTTGCAGTGAGCCGAGACGGGGCCACTACACTTCAGCCTGGGTGACAGAGCAAGACCCTGTCTCAAAAAAAAAAGTCTCTTTTTTAAGACAGAGTCTCTCTCTATTGCCCAGGCTGGAGTGCAATGGCACGTTCTGGGCTCACTGCAACCTCGGCTCCCGGGTTCAAGCGATTCTCCTGCTTCAGCCTCCCGAGTAGCTAGGATTACAGGTGCCTGCTGCCACATCCAGCTAATTTTTGTATTTTTAGTAGAAACAGGGATTCGCCGTGTTGGCCAGGCTGGTCTGGAACTCCTGACCTCAGGTTATTCACCCACCTCAGCCTCCCAAAGTGCTGAGATTACAGACATGAGTCACCACGCCCGGCCTCAAAATAAGTCTTAAAGTCAGGTAGAGGTAAGACCTTCAACTTGTTCCCTCCCTCCCTTCCTCCCTTCCTTCCTTCCTTCTTTTTTTTTCACAGGGGTCTTGGTCTCTTGCCCAGACTGGAGTGCAGTGGCACAATCTCAGCCCACTATAACCTCTGCCTCCCGGGTGCAAGTGATCCTCTCAGCTCAGCCTCCCAAGTAGCTAGGGCTACAGGCCTGCATCACCACATCTGGCTAATTTTTGTGTTTTTTTTTTTTTTTTTTTTTTTGTAGAGACAGGGGGTCTTGCCACGTTGCCCAGGCTGGTCTTGAACTCCTGGGCTCAAGCGATCCGCTTGCCTCAGCCTCCCAAAGTGCTGGGATTAAAGGCTAGAGCCACTGTGACCAGCTTCTTTTTTGTTGTTGTTGTTTTGAGATGAAGTTTCATTCTGTTGCCTAGACTGGAGTCCAGAGGCACGATTATGGCTCACTGCAGCCTTGACCTCCTGGGTTCAAGTGACCCTCCCACCTCAGCCTGCCAAGTAGCTGAGACTACATGCACACACCACCACACCTGGCTAATTTTTTATTATTTATAAAGATGGGATCTAATATGTTGCCTAGGCCAGTCTCAAAACTCCTGGACACAAGCGATCCTCCTGCCATGGCCTCCCAAAATGCTGGGATTACAGGCGTGAGCTAACCTACCCAGCCTAGTTCTCTTTTTCTTTTCTTTTCTTTCTTTCTTTTTTTTTTTTTTTTTTTGAGACGGAGTTTTGCTCTTGTTGCCCAGGCTGGAGCGCAATGGCATGATCTCAGCTCACTGCAACCTCCACCTCCTGGATTCAAGTGATTCTCCTGCCTCAGCCTCCCGAGTAGCTGGGATTACAGGCATGCACCACCACGCCCGGGTAATTTTTACATTTTTAGTAGAGACGAGGTTTCTACATGTTGGTCAGGCTGGTCTTGAACTCGTGACCTCAGGTGATCCACCCACCTCAGCCTCCCAAAGTGCTGGATTACAGGCATGAGCCACCACGCCTAGTCTAGTTCTCCTTTTTCAAAACTGAATTTGCTGTACAGAATGTTGGGGTAAATTTTGTCAATACACATATGCCTTGGAGAATCACTATATCCCTTAACTTGGTGGGTGTCAGCAGGATCATTTTCCTGGACGGTCTGACATCCTCTATTAGCAAAGCAGGCCACACTGCAGAGATCAGACACATGAGATCAGGTTGGACTCTTAAAGGTTAAACTGTGTCCCCCCAAAAAAGACATTGCAGTCCTAAACCTCAGTACCTCAGAATGTGACCTCATTTGGGGCTGGGCGCAGTGGCTCACGCCTGTAATTTCAACACCTTGGGAGACTGAGGCAGGCGGATCACCTGAGGTCAGGAGTTCAAGACCAGCCTGGCAAACATGGTGAAACCCCATCTCTACTGAAAATACAAAAAGTAGCCAGGAGGTGGAGGTTGCAGTGAGCCAAGATTGCGCCATTGCACTGCAGCCCGGCAGACAAGAGTGAAACTCCACCTCAAAAAGAAGAATGTGGCCGGCTGGGCACGATGGCTCACGCCTGTAATCCCAGCACTTTGGGAGGCCGAGGCAGGCGGATCACGAGGTCAGGAGATCGAGACCATCCTGGCTAACACGGTGAAACCCCCGTCTCTAATGAAAAAAATACAAAAAATTAGCCAGGCATGGTGGCAGGTGCTTGTAGTCCCAGCTACTCGGGAGGCTGAGGCAGGAGAATGGCGTGAACCTGGAAGGCAGAACTTGCAGTGAGCCGAGATCACGCCACTGCACTCCAGCCTGGGTGACAGAGCGAGACTCCGTCTCAAAAAAAAACAAAAGAAGAAGACTGTGGCCAGGCACGGTGGCTCACATCTGTAATCCCAGCACTTTGGGAGGCCGAGGAGGGTGGATCAGGAGGTCAGGAGTTGGAGACCAGCCTGGCCAACATGGTGAAACCCGATCTCTACTAAAAATACAAAAATTAGCTGGGTGTGAAGGCAAGCGACTGTTGTAATCCTAGCTACTTGGGAGGCTGAGGCAGGAGAATCTCTTGACACTGGAAGGCAGAGGTTGCAGTCAGCTGAGATTGTGCCATTGCACTCCAGCCTGGGCGAAAGAGTGAAACTCTCTAAAAAAAAAAAAAAAAACCACAAACAAAAAAAAACGAAGAATGTGACCTCATTTGGAAATACAGCCTTTACAGAGGTAATCAAATTAAAATGAGGTCATAGGGTGGGCACTTATTTCGTTTGGATCTGTGTCCCCACCCAAATCTCATGTTCAATTGTAATCCCCAGTGTTGGAGATGGAGCCTGGTGAGAGGTGATTGGATCACGGGGCCAGTTTCTCATGAATGGTTTAGCACCATCCTCTTGGTGCTATGACAGTGAGTGAGATCTGGTTGTTTAAAAGTGTATAGCACCTCCCCGCCCCTCTCTTCCTCCTGCTCCCGCCATGTGAAGGGCTGGTTCCTCCTTTGCCTTCCGCCATGATTGGAAGCTTCTTGAGGCCTCCCCAGAAGCAGATGCTGCAATGTTTCCTGCACAACCTTCCGAACCAAGAGCCAATTAATCCTCTTTTCTTTCTTTCTTTCTTTCTTTTTTTTTTTTTGACGGAGTCTCGCTCTGTCGCCCAGGCTGGAGTGCAGTGGCGCAATATCAGCTCACTGCAAGCTCCACCTCCCGGGTTCACGGCCATTCTCCTGCTTCAGCCTCCGGAGTAGCTGGGACTACAGGCGACTGCCACCACGCCCAGCTGATTTTTTTGTATTCATCCTCTTTTCTTTATAAATTACTCAGTCTTAGGTATTTCTTTTTCTTTTTTTTTTTCGAGACAGAGTCTCACTCTGTTGCCCAGGCTGGAGTGCAGTGGCGCGATCTGGGCTCACTTTAACTTCCGCCTCTGGGTGCAAGCAATTCTCTGCCTCCGCCTCCCGAGTAGCTGGGATTACAGGTGCCTGCCACCACGCCCAGCTAATTTTTGTATTTTTAGTAGAGATGAGGATTCACCATCTTGGACCGGCAGGTTGAACTGCTGACCTCGTGATCCACCTGCCTCAGCCTCCCAAAGTGCTGGGAGTACAGGCGTGAGCCACTGTGCCCGGCCTAGGTATTTTTTTTTTTTTTTTTTTTGAGATGGAGTCTCGCTCTGTCTTCCAGGCTGGAGTGCAGTGGCTCAATGTTGGCTCACTGCAACCTCCACCTCCCTGGTTCAAGCAATTCTCCTGCCTCAGCCTCCCGAGTAGCTGGGATTACAGGAGTGCATCACCACGCCCGGCTAATTTTTGTATTTTTAGTAGAGAGGGGGTTTCGCCATGTTGGCCAGGCTGGTCTCGAACTCCTGGCCTCAAATGATCTGTCCGCCTCGGCCTCCCAAAATGCTGGGATTACAGGCGTGAACCATGGTGCCCAGCCTCAGGTATTTCTTTTCATTTTTTTTTTTTTTTTTCTAAATGGAATTTTGTGCTTGTTGCCCAGGCTGGAGTGCAGTGGTGCAATCTCGCCTCACTGCAACCTCCACCTCCTGGGTTCAAGCGATTCTCCTGCCTCAGCCTCCCGAGTAGCTGGGATTATAGGCGCCTGCCACAACGTCCGACTAATGTTTTGTAGTTTTAGTAGAGACAGGGTTTCCCCATTTTGGCCAGACTTGTCCCGAACTCCTGACCTCAGGTGATCTGCTGGCCTGGGCCTCCCAAAGTGCTGGAATTACAGGTGTGAGTCACCGTGCCCAGCTTGGTATTTCTTTATAGCAATGACAGAACAGACTCATACAGCCCTCTTCCAATATTACTAATATCCTTATAAAAAGGAGAAGTGTGAAATTTGCAAGGAGCAGTGGCTCTTGTCTGGGGTTCCCGCTACTAGTGAGGCTGAGGCAGGAGCATTGCTTGATCCCATGAGGTCAAAGCTGCACTGAGCTGTGAGCGTGACACTGCACTCCAGCCTTGGCAACAGTGTGAGACCCTGTCTCAAAAAAGACAAAAACAGCCAGGCACCGTGGCTCACGCCTGTAATCCCAGCCTTTTGGGAGGCCGAGGCGGGCGGATCACCTGAGGTCAGGAGTTGGAGACCAGCCTGACCAACATGGAGAAAACTTATCTCTACTAAAAATACAAAATTAGCCGGGCGTGGTGGCATGTGCCTGTAATCCCAGTTACTCGGGAGGCTAAGGTAGGAGAATGGCTTGAACCCGGGAGGAGGAGGTTGTAGTGAGCCAAGATCGCACCACTGCACGCCAGCCTGGGCAACAAGAGCGAAACTCTGTCAGAAAAAAAAAACAAAAAACAAAAAACAAAAACAAAGGAGGAAATTTAGACACAGACAGACATGTACAGAGGGAAGACCACATGAATGGACACAAGAAGACGGCCGTCTACAAGCCAGGTAGCTCGAGCAGCAGGGCCTGGGGCATGTCCTTCCCTGGTTCCTTCCGAGGGACCGTGGCCTTGCTGACATCTTGATTTTGGACTTCTGGCCTCCAGAACTGTGAGACAATAAGTTTCTCTCCTAAGCCACCCAGTTTGTGGGACTTAAAAAAATTTTTTTGGGGGGGCCGGGCGTGATGGCTCACGCCTGTAATCCCAGCACTTTGGGAGGCCGAGGTGGGCGGATCACCTGCGGTCAGGAGACCAGCCTGGGCAACATGGCGAAACCCTGTCTCTACTAAAAAATACAAAAGTTAGCTGGGAATGGTGGTGTACGCCTGTAGTCCCAGCTACTCGGGAGGCTGAGGTGGAAGAATCGTTTGAACCCAGGAGGCGGGGGTTGCAGTGAGCTGAGATCAGGCCATTGTACTCCAGCCTGGGTGACAGAGTGAGACTCTGTCTCAAAAAAAAAAAAACAAAAAACAAAAAACAGGTCAGGAGCGGTGGCTCACGCCAGGACTTTGGGAGGCCAAGGCAGGCGGATCACGAGGTCAGGAGATCGAGACCATCCTGGCTAACATGGTGAAACCCTGTCTCTACTAAAAATACAAAAAATTAGCTGGGCGTGGTGGCGGATGCCTGTAGTCCCAGCTACTCGGGAGGCTGAGGCAGGAGAATGGCGTGAACCTGGGAGGCAGAGCTTGCAGTGAGCCAAGATCGCGCCACTGCACTCCAGCCTGGGCAACAGAGTGAGACTCCATCTCAAAAAAAAAAAAAAAAAAAGAAGAAGAAAAGAATACAAGGAGGCTGGAGTGATTTGGGGTGGGGTCTTCAGCCAGCCAAGGAAGTTGAATTCTAATGGGGCTGCAAGTGTGTTCAGATGAGATTAGATCATTATGCAGAGTTTGGAGCTAGGCACTCTTGGATTTGAATCCCAGTTTTGTCAGTTTGTAACTGTGCCACTTTGGGCAAGCACCCCAGCCTCTCTGAGCCCCATCTGTGAAAGGGGAATATTGATGGGACTTGGCAAAGAGGTTGTTATGAGTGTTTCATGAAAGAAAAGTTGTCTGGCAATTAGCACAGCGCTCAGTAAATGGTGGCTCCAACCTTCCCTCTCATGGGATGTGCTGTGCTCAGAGAAAGAGGATTGCTGCCTTCCAGATTGAATGAATTGACTGATCTGTAAGTCTTTAGTGAAGGTAGTATATCTGTGAGAATCTGACCAGGACAAACAGTTACCACACTAAGAGCATTTATCCTGAGAATTGCTCCAGGGGTAATGGAAGACTTACAGGAAAAGGCAGGCAGGGGAAGGGCAGCCCCCAGGTTAGCCCCAGCAGGAGGACTGCTATCACCCTGGGGTTGGAGGGACAGAGGCAGGGGGTGGTGTTTCTGGTACCGAAGAGGGACTGGAGTCCTCAGGCAGAAGCCAGAGCCACAGTGGACCTGTCTGGTGGGAGGTGGAGCTGGAGATCCCACCTGAGGCAGAGGGGTAGGAACACCCTGGATTCCCCTCCTCCCACCACCTGGCTCCTCCCACCCACCAGGCTCCTCCCACCACCAGGCTCCTCCCACCCACCAGGCTCCTGGCACTGCCTCCAGTTGGTCCATCTGTGCAGGAAGCCACCCTGCCAAAGGTTGGCCACCCTGTGATCTGGAGCAAGGCTAGAGAAAGGCAAGGGAGGGGTCCAAGGGCAAAGAAGTGCAGGCCCAACACTGGGGTGTGGGGGTTCCATCCGTTCTCTCTGGAGATTCCAGATTCCCCATCTAGAAAACGGGGATAATAATAGCACCTACTTATAGAATAGCTGACTGCCTACAACAGTGTAACACGTGTAAGCAGGTGAGCCCAGCAGCTGGCACACAGTAGGGAGTACCCCATAGATGTCATGAACAACCTAGTTAGCTGTTTTCTGCTCAGAGGATGAAAGGAGGTAACAGGGCCAGGCACAGTGGCTCACACCTGTAATCCCAGTACTTTGGGAGGCTGAGGCAGGAGGATCGCTTGAGCCCAGGAGTTCAAGACCAGCCTGGGCAACATAGTAAAACCCTGCCTCTAATAAAAAAAAAAAAAGAGAGAGAGAGAAAGAGGAAAAGAAATGAGAAAAAGAGAAAGAAAGAAAAGAAAAGAAAGAAAGAGCAAGAAGAAAGGGAAAGAAAGAAAAGAAAGAAAGAGAAAGAAAGAAGAAAAGAAATGAAAAGAGCTGAGCTAACAGGACAGGGCCTGGGAATAAATTCGAGGTACAGGAACAGTGCTAGGGCTGGTGATATTTTTGTCTTGGAGACGTGTCCATCTGTCCTCTCTCCATTCTAAGCTGGTGAGTCTGTCGGTCTCCTTTTAGAAATCCTGAGTCAGGGCAGCTCTTACCAAGTTCAGGGTGGCTCGAAGTTTGGCCTCTGTGCTCCCTCAAAAGGATTTCAAATCCACTAGATTTTTAGTTGGTTTCTCTGCCTCCTACCATTGCCAAACTTCCCTTGCCTCCCCCAGCCTGGGGCTGAGCCATTTCCAGGATCTCGCTTTGTATAATTAAAAAGAAAAATAGAACAGCTGATGTTGCCAAACATGTATTTAAAGTGACACCCTGAGTTCAAGGAGTGGAAAATAAAAACGTTTAAGGTTTAGATTAAAAGTCTCCATGCTCAGCTGTCTCCTAACCCTGGGATTTCTCCACAGCCCGGCCGCCTTTAATCCCCTGCCCTGGCTCGTAAAAGCCCTTTAGACTGAGGGCATTTATTTCCCAGAGAACAGTTCCAGCCTAATCACATAAAAACACCCGCATCCTGGGAACAGCCTGTCAAACACAGTGTGGCTCTGTGAGGCCCCAGAGAAGCTGGAGAAATTGTAGTTCTGATCACCCCAGGAGTCACGCTGCAGTCACTTTCCTAGACTGCACCCTTCCCCACAATATCCAATTCATCAATAAACCCAGTCAGTTCTAGCCCCTAGCATTTTCTTTTTCTTTTTCTTTTTTTTTTTGAAACGGAGTCTCGCTCCGTCGCCCAGGCTGGAGTGCAGTGGCGCGATCTCGGCTCACTGCAAGCTCCGCCTCCCGGGTTCACACCATTCTCCTGCCTCAGCCTCCTGAGTAGCTGGGACTACAGGCGCCCGCCACCACGCCCAGCTAATTTTTTTTTGTATTTTTTAGTAGAGACGGGGTTTCACCTTGTTAGCCAGGATGGTCTCGATCTCCTGACCTCGTGATCCACCTGCCTCGGCCTCCCAAGGTGCTGGGATTACAGGCGTGAGCCACTGCGCCCGGCCTCCCCTAGCATTTTCTTGAGATCTGAGCTCTTCCGTCCAGCAGCAACCATTCCATCACATCCGGGCTGCCATTGTTGCCCACCCACACGTCTGCAGTTACCCACCCGGGCTCTCTGCTTCTGCTGATCCCGCTAAAGCCCATTCTGTAATAGCAACAAGAAATAGTTTTTGAAACATAAATCTGATCATGTCCTTTCTCTGCTTGTATTAGTTTCCCATTGCTGCTGTAAGAAATTACCATAAATTGGCCGGGCGCGGCGGTTCATGCCTGTAATCCCAGCACTTTGGGAAGCCGAGGTGGGCAGATCACCTGAGGTCAAGAGTTCGAGACCAGCCTGGCCAACATGGTGAAACCCCATCTCTACTAAAATTTCAAAAATTAGCCGGGCGTGGTGGCAGTCTCCTGTAATCCCAGCTACTCAGGTGGCTGAGGCATGAGAATCTCTTGAACCCAGGAGGCAGAGGTTGCAGTGAGCCGAGATTGCGCCATCACACTCCAGCCTGGGGGACAAGACCGAGTCTTTGTCTCCAAAAAAAAAAAAAAAAAAAAAAGCAAAAATTAACCAGGCGTGGTGGCGGGTGCCTGTAATCCCAGCGACTCGGGAGGCTGAGGCAGGAGAATTGCTTGAACCCGGGAGGCGGAGCTTGCAGTGAGCCGAGATCACATCACTGCACTCCAGCCTGGGCGAGACAGAGTGAGACTCCATCTCAAAACACACACACAAACACACACACACACACACACACACAAATTCATTATCTTAGTTCTAGAGGTAAGAAGTTCAAAATGAATCATCAGGGGCCAAAATTAAGGTGACAGCAGGGCTGGTTCCTTTGGAGGCTCCAATGAGATAATGGGAAAATCCATTTCTTGCTTTTTCCCTTCTGCTGGCTGCCTGCATTCCTTAGTGTGCAGCCCCTTCTGTTTCTAAAGCAGGTCACGCCTCTCCAGACTCTGCTTCCATTGTCACATCGCTTCTCTGACCTCCTCTACCTCTCCTGAGGACACCTGTGGTTACACTGGGCCCACCCAGGTAATCCAGGATCAATCTTAAAATCCTTCACTCCATCACATCCGCAAAGTCCCTTCATCCATATACGGTCACATATTCACAGGTGCCAGACAGTAAGACATGGACATCCCTGGGGGACATTTACTCAGCCTGCCACACTGTGTACAGCCCTCCAGTGACCATGCATCTGAGAATCTGAGTTAGGATGAAATCCAAGCGCCTTCCCCAGCATGGGAAAGACTGATGTGATCTAGTTCCTGCCTATCTCTCCAGTGTGGTGGCTCACGTTTGCAATGTCAGCACTTTGGGAGGCCAAGGCGGGTAGATCACCTGAGGTTAGGAGTTCAAGACCAGCCTGGCCAACATGGCGAAACCCCATCACTACCAAAAATACAAAAATTAGCCAGGCAGTGTGTTGTGACGCATGACTGTAATCCCAACTACTCAGGAGGCTGAGGCATCAGAATCGCTTAAACCTGGGAGGCAGAGGTTGCAGCGGGTGGAGATCGCACCACTGCTCTCCAGCCTGGGTGACAGAGTAAGCCCCCATCTCAAAACAAAACAAAACAAACAAACAAAATTTCAAGCCAGGTGCCTATAATCCCAGCACATTTGGAGGTCAAGTCAGGAGGATCACTTGAGCCCAGGAGTTCCAGATCAGCCTGGGTAACATGGCCAGACCCCATCTCTACAAATAATAAAACTAGGCTGGGCATGGTGGCTCACGCTTGTAATCCCAGCACTTTGGGAGGCTGAGGTGGGTGGATCACCTGAGGTCAGGAGTTCAAGACCAGCCTGGCAAAAATGTTGAAACCCTGTCTCTACTAAAAATACAAAAAATTAGCTGGGCATGGTGGTGGGCACCTGTAATCCCAGCTACTCGGGAGGCTGGGACAGGAAAATTGCTTGAACCTGGGAGGCAGAGGTTGCATTGAGCTGAGATCAAGCCACTGCACTCCAGCCTGGGTGAGAGAGTGAAACTCTGTCTCAGATAAAATAAAATAAATAAATAAATAAAACAACAGCAATGTATTGGTCATAGTTCTGGGGGCTGGGAAGTTCAAGGTCAAGTCACCAGCAGACTCGGTCTCTGGTGAGGACTTAGTTTACTTCAAAAATGGCACCCTGTTGCTGTATCTTCCATGGTGGAAAGGGGCTAGCTTCTCCACTCGGGTCTCTTTTTTTCTTTTCCAGACAAGGTCAGTTCTGTCGTCCAAGCTGGAGTGCAATGGCATGATCTCAGCTCACTGCAAGCTCCAGCTTCTGGATTTAAGTGATTCTCCTCCCTTGGGGATCACAGGCATGCACCACCACACCTAGCACATTTTTGTATTTTTAGTAGACACAGGATTTCGCCATGTTGGCCAGGCTGGGGACCTCTTTTATTTATTTATTTGGTTGTTGCTGTTGTTGAGACAGGATCTCACTCTGTCGCCCAGGCTGAAGTGTAGTGGTACAATCACAGCTCACTACAGCCTCATTCTCCCAGGCTCAGGTGATCCTTCCACCTCAGCATCCTGGGTAGCTGGGACCACAGGAATGCACCACCACAACCGGCTAATATTGTGTAGTGAGACGGGGTCTCCCCATGTTTGCCCAGGCCAGTCTCGAACTCCTGGGCTCAAGCAATCTGCCTACCTCAGCCTCCCAAAGTTCTGGGACTACAGGCATGAGCCACAGCACATAGCCCCCTCGAGCTGCTTTTATGAGGGCACTAATCCCTTCACACACGCAGAACCTTATAACTTAATCACCTCCCAAAGGACCTATCTCTTAATACTATTGCATTGGGTATTAGGTTCCAACACATGAATTTTGGGGGGACACTAACATTCGGACAATTGTATATGTATACTATCAAGTCTATTTACATAAAATTCAAAGACAGGACAAGTAAAATGGAAACTATGGGAGTGATGGATATGCGTTAATCAATATGACCATGGTAATCAGGACACAATGGATTTCAACTCATCACACTGTACATCTTGAATATATACAATTCAATTTATCAGTTAAAATTTTTTTTTGAGATAGAGTCTTGCTCTGTCTCAGGCTGGAGTGCAATGGCACGATCTCGGCTCACGGCAACCTCTGCCTCCCGGGTTCGAGCTATTCTCCTGCCTCAGCCTCCTGAGTAGCTGGGATTACAGGCGCGCACCACCACGCCCGGCTAATTTTTGTATTTTTAGTAGAGACAGGGTTTCACCATGTTGGCCAGGCTGGTCTTGAACTCCTGACCTCATGATCCACCCGCCTTGGCTTCCCAAAGTGCTGGGATTACAGATGTGAGCCACCACGCCTGGCCATTATCAATTAAATATTTTTAAATCAAAAAAGAAGAAATGGCTGGGTGCATTGGCTCACACCTGTAAACCCAGCACTTTGGGAGGCAGAGGCAGGGAGATATTTTGAGGCCAGGAGTTCAAGACCAGCCTGGGCAACATGGCGAAACCCTGTCTCTACAAAAAATAAAAGTAAAAAATTGGCCAGGCATGCTGGCTTGCACCTGTGGTCCTAGCTACTGGGGAGGCTAAGGAAGGAGGATCCCTTGAGCCTAGGAGTTTGAGGCTGCAGTGAGCTGTGATTGCATCAGTGCACTCCAGCCTGGGTGAGAGAGGGAGACCCCCATCTCTAAAAATAAAAAGGAAACAAGTGAATGATTCAAAACAAAAAGAACATGCCAAAGAAAACAATATATATAAAAACTAGGCCAGCGCACGGTGGCTCACGCCTGTGATCCCAGCACTTTGAGAGGCTGAGGCAGGCGGTCAGGAGTTTGGGACCAGCTGGGCTAACATGGCAAAACCCCGTCTCTACTAAAAAATACAAAAATTAGGTGGGTGTGGTGGTGCGCAGCTGTAATGCCAGCTACTTGGGAGGCTGAGGCAGGAGAATCCCTTGAACTTGGGAGGAGGGGATTGCAGTAAACGAGACTGCGCTACCGCACTCCAGGGTGGGTGATAGAGTGGGACTCTGTCTCGAAAAAAAATTTAAAAAAAGGCCGGGCGTGCTGGCTCATGCCTATAATCCCAGCACTTTGGGAGGCCGAGGCGGGTGGATCACGAAGTCAGGAGTTCAAGACCAGCCTGGAGTTCAAGACCAGCCTGGCCAAGATGGTGAAACTCCATATCTACCAAAAAATACAAAAATTAGCCAGGCATGGTGGCGGGCACCTGTAATCCCAGCTACTCGGGAGGCTGAGGCAGGAGAATCACTTGAACCCGGCAGGCAGAGGTTGCAGTGAGCTGAGATCGCGCCACTGCACTCCAGCCTGGGTGACAGAGCAAGACTCCATCTCAAAAACAAATAAACAAACAAAAAAACCCTGCAATGGTACAATAAGCGATAAATACAAAAATATACTAGTACTTTCAGGGGGTTAGGAGGAAGAGACTGGGATGGGTCCGTGGAGAATTTCTTTTTTTTTTTTTTTTTGAGATGGGGTCTCACTCTGTTGCCCAGGCTGGAGTGCAGTGGTGCCATCTCGGCTCACTGCAAGCTCCGCCTCCTGGGTTCACTCCATTCCCCTGCCTCAGCTTCCTGAGTAGCTGGGACTACAGGCGCCCGCCACCACACCCGGCTAAATTTTTTTTGTATTTTTAGTAGAGATGGGGTTTCACCATGTTAGCTAGGATGATCTGGATCTCCTGACCTCGTGATCCACCCACCTTGGCCTCCCAAAGTGCTGGGATTACAGGCGTGAGCCACCACGCCCGGCCATGGAGAATTTCAAAGAGACACTGGGATTGCTGGGCTTCTGTTGCTGCTGTTTTAACATGGAATGTCTCAGCCTCATGAATCTGCTTGTCATTCTCGCGCAAGGGCCATGCTAAAGTGCTATGTGCGGTTTCAATTTCAGTATACGTGCTGCCAAAGTGAGTGAGTACTGCTGCTTTTTTTAATTGTGACAAAATATATGTAACATAAAATTTATCATTGTAACAATTTTTAAGTGTACAGCTCCATGACATTAAGCATATTCACACTGTTGTACAACCATCACCACCATCCACGTCTAGAACTTTTCCATCCTCTCAAACAAAAAGTCTGTCCCCATTAAACCTAACTCCCCAGAATATCCCCCTCCATCCAGCCCCTGGCCACCACCATTATATCTATTCTATATTCTATTCTGTTTTCTTTCTCTCTTTTCTTTCTTTCTTTCTTTTTTTTTTTTTTTTGAGATAGAGTTTCACTCTGTCGCCCAGGCTGACATGCAGTCGCTCAGTCTCGGCTCACTGCAACCTCTGCCTCCCACGTTCAAGTGATTCGTCTGTCTCACCCTCCCAAGTATCTGGGATTACAGCTACGCGCCACCACGCCTGACTCTTTTTTTTTTTTTTTTTTGAGATGGAGTTTCGCTCTTGTTGTCCAGGCTGGAGTGTAATGGCACAATCTTGGCTCATCATAACCTCCGCTGCCCGGGTTCAAGCAATTCTCCTACCTTAGCCTCCCCAGTAACTGGGATTACAGGCATGCGCCACCACGCCCAGCTAATTTTGTATTTTTAGTAGAGATGGGTTTTCTTTTTCTCTCTTTTTTTTGTTTTGAGATGGGGTTTCGCTCTTGTTGCCCAGGCTGGAGTGCAATGGCACGATCTCGGCTCACCGCAACCTCCGCCTCCCGGGTTCAAGCGATTCTCCTGCCTCAGCCTCCCTAGTAGGTAGGATTACAGGCATGTGCCACCACGCCTGGCTAATTTTGTATTTTTAGTAGAGACAGGGTTTCTCCCTGCAGGTCAGGCTGGTCTCAAACTCCCGACCTCAGGTGATCAGCCCGCCTCGGCCTCCCAAACTGCTGGGATTACAGGCATGAGCCACCACACCCGGCCATGAGATAGGGTTTCTCCATGTTGGTCAGACTGGTCTCGAACTCCCGACCTCAGATGATCCACCCGCCTTGGCCTCTCAAAGTGCTGGAATTACGGGCATAAGCCTCCACGCCCAGCCCTTGGGCCCATCATTCTGTTTTCTGTTTCCATGAATTGAAATACTCTAGGTACTTCATATTAATGGAATCATACCATATTTGTCCATTCATGTCTGGCTTATTTCACTTAGCATGTCTTCAAGGTTTATCTTGTTGCAGCATGTGTCAGAATTTCCTTTGTTTTTAAGTCTGAATCATATTCCATATTATATTATATTCCATATACCATGTTTTATTTTTCCATTTATCTACTGATGGACATTTGGGTCATTTTCACCTTTGTGGTTGTTGTCAATAGCACTGCTATGAAACTGTTAATGTTTTCTCTCTTAAGTCGATAGTAATAATTGTGTGTGTGTGTGTGTGTGTGTATATATATATATATATATATATATATTATTTTTTTTTTTTTTGGGATGGAGTCTCCCTCTATCGCCCAGGCTGGAGTGCAGTGGTGCAATCTTGGCTCACTGCAAGCCTCCTGGGTTCAAGCGATTCTCCTGTCTCAGCCTCCCAAGTAGCTGGGACTACAGGTGTGTGCCACCATGCCTGGCTAAGTTTTGTATTTTTGGTAGAGACAAGGTTTCACCATGCTGGCCAGGATGGTCTCGATCTCCTGACCTTGGATCAACCTGCCTCGGCCTCCCAAAGTGCTGGGATTACAGGCATGAGCCACCGCTCCCGGCCCCTATATTATTATTTTTAAAACCGTACATATAAGTTTATTTCCTATTTTTAAGCTCAGAATCGCGTAATGTTATTTATTTTCACACCTTCCCACAGTGGAACAGTCTTTATTACTTTGCTTGGCAGTAAGTAACTCCAGAAAGTAATCTAATGACTCAGTTTTACTACGGCAAATATTATTAGCCATTTTCTTGCCAAAATAATCAATACATTATTAAAGTTCATCCTGTAAATGTTCTAAACTAACTGATGATAAGACCACAATAAAAGGTAATATACAGTCAGACGCAGTGGCTCCCGCCCTGTAATCCCAGCACTTTGGGGAGGTAGGTGGAGCACTTGAGACAGGAGTTTGAGACCAGCCTGGGCAACATGGTGAGACCCCCATCTCTATAAAAAAATTAAAAATTAGCTGGGTGTGGTGGTGTCCACCTATAGCCCCAGCTACTCGAGAGGCTGAGACAAGAGGCTTGCTTAAGCCCAGGAGGTTGAGGCTGCAGTGAGCTATGATTGCACTACTGCACTCCAGCTTAAGCAACACAGCAAGATCCTGTCTCCCCCACAAAAAAAGGAGGCCAGGCATGGTTGCTCAAGCCTATAATCCCAGCACCTTGGGAGGCTGAGGTGGGCAGATCTCTTGAGCCTAGGAGTTAGAGACCAGCCTGGACAACATGGAGACACCTTGTCTCTACAAAAAACACAAAACAATTAGTGGGGTGTGGCGGCGCATGCCTATAGTCCCAGCCACTCTGAGGCTGAGCCAGGAGAATGGCTTGAACCAGGAAGGTGAGGTTGCAGTGAACCGAGATGGTGTCACTGCACTCCAGCCTGGGCGACAGAGCGAGACTCCATCTCAAAAACAAACAAACAAACAAACAAACAAACAAACAAACAACCATCACAAAAAAAACCTGCAGAATATATTTTACCACAGTTAAAGAGGAGGAGGCTGAGCGCGATAGCTCATGTCTGTAATCCCAGCACTTTCGGAGGCCGAGGTGGGCGGATCACCTGAGGTTGGGAGTTCAAGACCAGCCTGACCAATATGGAGAAACCCCATCTCTACTAAAAATGCAAAAAATTGGCTGGGTGTGGTGGCATATGCCTGTAATCCCAGCTACTCGGGAGGCTGAGGCAGGAGAATCGCTTGAACCTGGGAGGTGGAGGTTGCAGTGAGCCGAGATCACACCATTGTACTCCAGCCTGGGCAACAAGAGCGAAACTCCATCTCAAAAAAATAAAATAAAATAAATAAATAAATAAAAAAAAGAAGGAAGGAAGGAAAGTTTTGGATTGTGCAAAGCTTTGTGACTCTAGTGAAGATTTGAGTCTTCAATGATTTCTTTTATTTATTTATTTATTTATTTTTTTAGAGATGAAGTCTCACTCTGTTGCCCAGGCTGGAGTGCAACGGCATGATCTCGGCTCACTGCAACCTCCGCTTCCTGGGTTCAAGCGACTCCCCTGCCTCAGCCTCCTGAGTAGCTGGGATTACTAGCATGCACCACCATGCCTGGCTAATTTTTGTATTTTTAGTGGAGACAGGGTTTCGCCATGTTGGCCAGGCTGGTCTCGAACTCCTGACCTCAGGTGATCCGCCCGCCTTGGCCTCCCAAAGTGCTGGGATTACAGGCGTGAGACACCACGCCTGGCCCATCTTCAATGATTTCTATGCATTGTCTGGGTTTTTGCAAAATTAGATCATGGATTACCTCTATAATTTTTCAAAATTAACTTGCCATTATAGGAGTCCAGGCAAGGTGTTAAGAAGTCAAGGAGGAGGAGAATCAAATCTTTCATTTCATAGATGGAAAATCAGGCCAAATCTGAGGGAGGGCACCTGTCAGAAGTGCAGGCCCTTTGCCAGAGCTCCAGGGTTAGAACTCAGCTGCTGCCCTCTTGCCTGGTGTATGAAGGAAGGAACAACTGCGGTCACGGAAGCGGCCGTAATTAGACAGCAGGCAATGATTGAGTGGGAGCTGCAGGCAAAGTCCTCCATGGGTGCCCGGGGATGGACAGGCAGGTGAGCTAGGGGCCAGCCTGGCCTCACCTTCAAAGAGCTGGTTCCCAGGTGAGAAGATATGGCCCTGAGAAAGGTACCTGGCAGTACAGGTGATAAGGGGCCCTCTGCACTCTAAACACACCCACCTTCTAGCCTTATCTTTGTGTGTTAGAGTTATTTATTTACAGGCCATGTTAGCAGGAAGACTGGGGGCTCCTTGAGGGCGTTCATTCATTCAGGCATTTATTGAACTACTGTGTACCCAGGCACTGATTGGGACAGCTGTATACAGTAGCTGCTTGATAAACATACATTGCATTGAATGACAAGCTCAGAGCTTAGCATTACCTAAGCACTCCATAAATCCTGCTTGGATTGAATAAATAATGTATGAATAAATTACAGGCATCAGGCCTGGCACACAGTAGGTGTTTAATACATGTTGAATGCATGAAGGAAGGACTAACACAAGGTCTGGTACACAGGAAATACATGTTGCAAGAACCTGCCTGTATTTTTTATTTTTTTATTTTTTTGAGATGGAGTCTCCCTGTCGCCCAGGCTGGAGTGCAGTGGCGCGATCTCAGCTCACTGCAACTTCCACCTCCCAGATTTAAGTAACTCTGCCTTAGCCTCCCAAGTAGCTGGAATTACAGGCACACGCCACCATGCCGAGCTAATTTTTCTATTTTTAATAGACAAAATACAAAATACAGCCTGTTGTCCAGGCTGGTCTTGAACTCCTGACCTCAAGTGATCCACCTGCCTGGGCCTCCCAAAGTGCTGGGAATACAGGCGTGAACCACCGTGCCCAGAATTTTTTTTTTTTTTTTTTTTTGGAGACAGGGTCTCACTCTGTTGCCCAGGCTGGAGTGCAGTGTTGCGATCATGGCTCACTGCAGCCTTGATTTTGTGGGCTCAAGTGATCCTCCCACCTTAGCTTCCAGAGAAACTGGTACCACAGGAGTGCACCACCACACCCAGCTAATTTTTTTCATTTTTCTTTTTGAGATGGAGTTTTGCTCTTGTTGCCCAGGCTGGAGTGCAATGGTGCAATCTTGGCTCACTGCAACCTCCGCCTCCCAGGTTCAAGTGATTCTCCTGCCTTAGCCTCCTGAGTAGCTGGGATTACAGGCACACACCACCATGCCCAGCAAATTTTTGTATTTTTAGTAGAGATGGGGTTTTGCCATGTTGGCCAGGCTGGTCTCGAACTCCTGACCTCAGGTGATCCACCTGCCTCGGCCTCCCAAAATGCTGGGATTACAGGCATGAGCCACCGCGCCCATACTTTTACATTTTTTTTTGCAGAGACAGAGTCTCACTAAGTTGCCCAGGCTGGTCTCAAACTCCTGGACTAAAGCGATTCTCCTGTCTTGGCCTCCTAAAGTGCTGGCATTACAAATGTGAGCTACCACACCAGGCCTGAACCTGTCTTTTTTTTTTTTTTTTTTTTTTTTTTGAGACAAAGTCTTGCTCTGTTGCCCCAGGCTGGAGTGCAGTGGTACGATCCTGGCTCATTGCAACCTCCGCCTCCCGGGTTCAAGCAGTTCTCCTGATCAGCCTCCCGAGTAGCTGGGATTATAGGCATGTGCCACCACACCCGGCTAATTTTTGTATTTTTAGTAGAGATGGGGTCTCACCGTGTTGGCCAGGCTGGTCTCGAACTCCTGACCTCAGGTGATCTGCCTGCCTTGGCCTCCCAAAGTGCTGGGATTACAGGCATGAGTCACCGCGCCCAGCCTATTTCCAGTTTTTTGTGATGATATACAATGCTGCTAGGGCCATCATTCTTGTTCATGCTTCCCAGTGCACTCCTGCATTTCTGTCAACAATGTCCTCAGCTGTGGAGCGGCTGCATCATAGGTTACACACACCTTCAGCTTTATCAGACATTGCCCAGCTAGTTCCCAAAGTGTCTACTAATTTTTGCAGTTTATTTCACCCCCAATCGCACCCTCAGCTCACTATGCTTGTGTCATATGGGCCTTCTTTTGCGCCCTTTAGCACATGTGTGCCTCAGTCAGAAGGCCTATTCTATCTGCCATTTCATCTGCTGAGAGCACTTCCCCAACACTCAGCCTAGCAAAGAACTTTTCTTCAGAGCTCAGCTCTAGGCATCACTCCCTCCCCAGTCCGAGACCAGGTCAACCCTCCCTCCCTCCATATTATGGAACTCACAGCACCACATATGTCTTCTTTGTGATATTTATCAACTTCAGAGTTTCCTCTCTATCTGTGCAATTCTCAGAACAAAGTCTGTCTCCCCTGCTAAGCTGTAAGTTCCCATGTTTGTTTAAGCTCCCTGCCCTTTCTCCAACACCCAACAGCAAGCCTGGCACATGTTAGGCAATGGGTGTTATTACTCTAATAGCTATTCTGTATTCTAACTCATATTTGAGTTCAGTATGTAACTTTTCCAGCATGTTTTCACATTAATTAGCATCTTCTGGGGCCGGGATCATGACAATGTAGACACAGTCCCTTCCCTTAAGGAGTTCACAGATTTAAGTCAATAAATGTTTACTGGACTCGCTGGCCCGTGACATATTTTAAGTGCTTAGCAACTGTTTAATTGACTCAGAGGTCCCCCTCATCTGAGTATTACTATAATGAACAGCGTAGGCCAGTGTTTTCTGAGCACTTATTATGCACCAGACACTCTGCTAAGTGCTTTTCATTTACCATCTCCTGCATGCTCACATCCTTCCCAGGAGGTCCTACATCACCTGCATTTGACAGATGAGGAGACTGAGCCTCAGGAAGGTGAATTCATTCTTCTGTTCCAGGTCACACAGCTGGTACATGGTACAGACGGGATTTCTCAGCCAGAGCTCCTAACCTGTACCTCCTATTACGATGCTGCATTTTCCCTGCTCCAATTACACTGCTCTCTTTCTTTCGTTCTTTTTTTTTTGAGATGGAGTCTGGCTCTGTCACCCTGGCTGGAGTGCAGTGGCCAGATTTTGGCTTACTGCAATCTCTGCCTCCCAGGTTCAAGTGATTCTCCTGCTTCAGCCTCCCAAGTAGCTGGGACTATAGGCGTGTGCCACCATACCCGGCTAATTTTTGTATTTTTAGTAGAGACAGGGTTTTTCACCATGTTGGCCAGGCTGGTCTCGAACTCCTGACCTCGGGTGATCTGCCCACCTCGGCCTCCCAAAGTGCTGGGATTACAGGCGGGAGCCACTGTGCCCATCTTTTTTTTTTTTTGAGACGGAGTCTCGCTCTGTCGCCCAGGCTGGAGTGCAGTGGCGTGATCTTGGCTCACTGCAACCTCCACCTCCCAGGTTGAAGCAATTCTCCTGCCTCAGCCTCCCAAGTAGCTGGGATTACAGGTGACCACCACCACACCCAGCTAATTTTGTGTATTTTTAGTAGAGACAAGGTTTTACCATGTTGGCCAGGCCAGTCTCGAACTCCTGACCCCAGGTGATCCACCTGCCTCGGCCTCCCAAAGTGCTGGGATTACAGGTGTGAGCCACCGCGCCCAGCCCACTGTGCCCATCTTAAATTACACTGCTTTCTGTTGGAGCACAGAGACTAAGTTTGATACCTACCATTACTGGGCACCGCAGTACTAACCATTTTACGTCCATCTATTCATTTAATTCAAATAGTTACTGAACCCACCATGAACCAAGTTCTGTTCTAGGGGCTGGAGATATGGAGGTAAACAAAACAGACATCCTAGTGGGAGGAATAAAAACTAAAGAAACTCAGTTAAGTAGAATATAAAATATGGGCTGTGCACAGTGGTTCATGCCTATTATCCCCGCACTTCGGGAGCCAGAGAGGGAGGATTGCTTGAGATCAGGAGTTCAAGACCAGCCTGGGCAACATAGTGAGACCCTGTCTCTACAAAATGTAAAAAAAAAAAAAGAAAAAGAGAAACTTGAGCCGGGCGTGGTGGCTCACGCCTGTAGTCCCAGCACTTTGGGAGGCTGAGGCAGGTGGATCACCTGAGGTCAGGAGATGGAGACCAGCCTGGCCAACACGGTGAAACCCTGTCTCTACTAAAAATACAAAAATTAGCCGGGCGTGGTGGTGGACACCTGTAATCTCAGCTACTCAGGAGTCTGAGGCAGGAGAATTGCTTAAACCCAGGAGGCAGAGGTTGCAGTGAGCTGAAGATTGCGCCATTGCACTCCAGCAGCCTGGGTGACAGAGCCAGACTCCAACACACACACACACACACACACACACACACACACACACCCACAAAACCAAAAATTAGCCAGGTGTGGTGGTAGGCACCTGTAATCCCAGCTACTTGGGAGGCTGAGACAGGAGAATCGCTTGAACCCCGGAGGCAGAGGTTGCAGTGAACCAAGATCATGCCATTGCACTCCAGCCTGGGGGGCAAAAGCAAAACTGTTTCAAAAACAAACAAACAAAAAAACCGGCTGGGTGTGGTGATACATGCCTGTAGTCCCAGGTAATCAGGAGACTGAGGCGGGAGGATCACTTGAATCCAGGAGTTGGACATGGCAGTGAGCTGTGATTGTGTCACTGCCCTCCAGCAGCCTGGGTGACAGAGAGAGACCCTGTCTCAATATATTAGGTTGGCGCAAAAGTAATTGCAGTTTTTGCCACTGAAAGTAATGCCATTGGAGGTAATGGCAAAAACAGCAATTACTTTTGCGCCAATCTAATAGATATGTAGATAATATGATCGATGGTGATCAGTGATAACAGTGAAAAAGAAACAGAACAGGGAACAAGGGGCCGGGCTCAGTGGTTCACGCCTGTAATCCCAGCACTTTGGGAGGCCGAGGTGGACGGATCACTTGAGGCCAGGAGTTCGAGAACAGCCTGGCCAACATGGTAAAACCCCACTTCTACTAAAAATACAAAAAAATTTAGCCAGGCATGGTGGTGTGCGTCTGTGGTGCCAGCTACCCGGGAGGCTGAGGTGGGAGGATCCCTTGAACACAGGAGGCAGAGGCTGCAGTGAGCTGAGATCGCGCCATTGCACGCCAGCCTGGGTGACAGAGTGAGACCCTGTCTCCAAAAAACAAACAAACAAAAACAAAAAAAGAAAAGAAAAAGGAACAAGGAAAATAAGATGGTAAATGTGGTCTCCAAGGTCTTGTTTCATCTTCCTATGTCCATTATTTTTCCCATTATGCAAGTGAGGAGGAGGTTCAGAGAGGTGGAGTAACTCGTCCAGGGACTCACAGTGCGCAAGCTGAGACGTCAGTGTCCTGGAAGGACCCATCCTGCAATCGTTCTTGGCTGTGTTCCTACCCAGTGCCTAGGATGGAGGTGAAGACAAAAAGAGCATCAGGCTTTCTCTCAAGAGCTTGAGACCTGGCAAGCGGGTAGGTCAATCCCTGTGAGCAGAGGACTCCCTAAAGCCCTTGCGATGCATCCATGAGGTGCCCAGAGCAGACATTGAGGAATCACCTTGGGAGAAGCGGATGCAGAGGCTGGAGTCGAAGCTCAGGCTGATGAATCGATTCCAGAGATCAGGAGCAGAAGGCAAAGTCCCCGTAGGATCTTCTGGGACTATTGGTGGCTCCCAGGCCCACCAGTCCTGGCTCTACTCCCCTTCAGCCCTCTTATCTCCAGCCTTTAGGCCTTCAGGTAGGGAGACCCAACGACGCTAGTTACCTAATAATTAGCCACAGCCGCCGGGCGCGGTGGCTCACGCCTATAATCCCAGCACTTTGGGAGGCCGAGGCGGGCGGATCACGAGGTCAGTAGATCGAGATCATCCTGGCTAGCACGGTGAAACCCCGTATCTATTAAAAATACAAAAAATTAGCCGGGCGTGGTGGCGGGCGCCTGTAGTCCCAGCTCCTTGGGAGGCTGAGGCAGGAGAATGGCGTGAACCCGGGAGGCGGAGCTTGCAGTGAGCCAAGATGGCGCTACTGCACTCGAGCCTGGGCGACAGAGCAAGACTCCGTCTCAATAAATAAATAAATAAATAGATAGATAAATAAATAAAAATAAAATAATTAGGCACAGCCTAGCAGTGAGGAAGCTAGAGTCACATGCAAACAGCGGCCCCTCCTCTACCCGGCATCATGAGCTAGGGGTGCCTCCCAGACTGCTGGCTGGTGGCGGTGGAGGGGACGCAGGGTACGCGTTTTTAGGCCTCAGCTGCGAGCAATGATGGCTGGTCCCCATGACTCAGTTTGTGTGCAACAGGTGTCATGAATAAGGGTGGCAGTGTGGAATAGAGTGGGTAAGGGTCTGGACTTTGGAGCTAGAAAGGTGTTCCCGCCTCGCCAAGGCACACCAACGTATTTTTTATACCTCTAAGAAACTTGGTATCTTTTTTTTTTGGAGACGGAGTCTTGCCTCTGTCACCCAGGCTGGAGTGCAGTGGCATGATCTCAGCTCACTGCACCTCCGCCTGTTGGGTTCAAGCAATTCTGCTTCAACCTTCCGAGTAGCTGGAACTACAAGCGCACACTGCGACCCCTGGCTAATTTTTTGTGTTTTAGTAGACACGGGGTTTCACCATGTTACCCAGGCTGGTCTCAAACTCCTGAGTTCAGGCAATCTGCTCGTCTTGGCCTCCCAAAGTGCTAGGATTACAGGCGTGAGCCAGTGTGTCAGGACTTTTTTTTTTTTGAGACACAGTTTCACTCTGTCACCCAGGCTGGAGTGCAGCTGCGCCATCTCGGCTCACTGCAACCTTAACCTTCCGGGTTCAAGCGATTCTCCTGCCTCGGCCTCCTGAGTAGCTGGGACTACAGGTGCCCACCACAATGCCCGGCTAATTTTTGTATTTTTAGTAGAGATAGGGTTTCACCATGTTGGCAAGGCTGGTCTCAAACTCCTGACTTCAGGTGATCTGCCTGCCTTGGCCTCCCAAAGTGCTGGGATTACAGGCATGAGCCACCGCACCCAGCCGGTATCTTGTTCAAAGAGGTACACTTTAAGGATAGTTGATCAAGCTGAAAATATACATAGTTTTGGAGGTTGAGGAATT
>NW_025791795.1:0-104537 GCF_000001405.40 Homo sapiens | reverse complement strand
GGTTTCGGGGTGAGGGGCGTGGAAAGGGCGGGACGGTGGGGGGCGGGGGGGAAGGGAAATCTACGGAAAGTGGGGGGAGGAGGGCCTTGGAGCAGGCGGCGACCAGAGGGCGGACCAGGCAGGCGGTTGGCCCGGGCGGGGCCTTCGCTGCTCGGGCCGCCCCCGCGGCTCCAGCCCCCGGCGGGAGGAGCCTCAGGCGGGCGGCCGAGTAGTGGGGGGTAAGGCCCGTCCCCCGTGGCCGGGGCGGGCAGGGGGCGGGCGAGGCCACGCTGCCCCCTCCCCCGGGGCGGGCGGCCCATCCCCCTCCTCCTCGGAGGCCCCGCCACTGCCCCGTCTCCCTCCCTTCCCTCCGCCCCGGGCGGGACCTAGGCCGCCGCCGCCGCCGCCTCCCGCCCGCCCCCGCTTCACGGCGGGGATCGCCCGGTCGGCCCTCGCGCGCGCCCCCTCACTCGCCTCCCACCCCTAAGCTTGGAGTGGACTCATCCTTACCGCTCATGGTGGCAGCTGAGGGACAAGCTCAAGGGGGTCCTGTCCGGGGGGGTTGGGGGGGGCCGGGAAAAACGCGGACGCTGACGAGGCAAGCGAACCCGGACCGGACAGGGAGGGGGGGGTAAGGAGGAGGGAGCAGCGCGCCACAAGCCCAACCTAGGCCCCGCCCCTTCTCTGCTGCCCCGCCCAATGAGGGAGGGGGAAAGGAGGGACTTGCAGAAGAAAGACGGTGGAATTATCCAATGGCAAGACTCGCTTGCTCTCCAAGGCGTGTGAGACTAAGTTGCGTGCCTGGTGTCCGCCTAAAAAGACCGCCCTCTCAGTGTTAAAAGCCAATGAAGGATGCAGGAAGTGAAGATGGGCGGGAGCTGGAGATGATTGGCTTGGAAGGAAACCAGTCAACCGGCAGGCGGGCTCCCTGAGACGTAGGGATAGGCAAAGCTTTGATAGGAATGACAGAACAACGGCCAACCAGAATCCGGGATATGCTTGGGCAAAATCCTAGTGGGCGGAGAGGTAAGAAGTAGGCAGGAATAGGAGAGGATGAAGCTGATTAAAACCAATCAGAAATCAGGCGGGCAGCCAGGAACGTTATGATTGGAGTTAGACTGAAAAGAGACAGGAAAGGACGCATATTGACGTGAACTAAAAGCCAATTAAACGCCGAATTAACTGAGGGCGGAAACTTGGAGTGGCAGAGGAGAATTGGCGGCTCCCTCAGTTATTCAATCCAATGAGGGGACGAAGTAGGCCTGGCACCGCCTCCTAGTTAGCCAATGGGCGTTACTGGAGCTGCCCATCATGAGGGAGGGAAGAGGGCTATGCCAAGAGGAGACCGTCGCCATATTGGCCCTCCTCAGGGGACGTTGTTACAGTCATTAGGTGGGACGCTTTAGCGGAGTCCTGCAGCTCAACAGGTGTCAGAGCCAAGGCATTCGGCGCGCAGTTCCGCATCAACACTAGGACTTGTTTGCGTCTTCATTTAACTGCCCCTATAAAGTACCTCTCAAATCTTACCCCCCTCCCGGGTGGTCGGACAGGCGGGCAGATGCCTCAATGTCGCTGCAAGCCCTGGGAATGCAGGCGGGACGAGATCTGGTGACAGCACTCACCGAATAAGTTAATACTGAGCTGACCAATATGCAGAGTCTCCGTGAGACTCCAGAAAACGCGATTTTATTAAGTTCCCCCAGACAAAGGCGCTAACCACTTAAACGACTGGTTAACTTTTCAAGCCTTGAGGCTAAAGTGCGGATAAGTCACTTCCATTTTTTCCCCCTTAATAGTAAATACCGCCTATGCATAAAGCAAGATAGCTGAGCTCCAGCTTTTTGCAATCACGAAGGTTAAGAAACTTTACTGCAGGCACCTGGATTTCTGGCCTCCTCTTTATCCGTGTTTTGGTGGAGCCGGCCTTAATAGCTTGTCAATGACACGATGAGGTCATGTCCTTCAGTATTTGTATCTTATATGTTGTCACCTGCTTATATGTTCTTATGTTTTAAAATGTGAATTCTCCTAAACTATTTTAAGCCCTTTGAAGGTAAGAACTGAGGCCTCTGCTGCTTTAAACAGGTAAAAAGGTGAAGTGATTGCTGACTGCCTACCGTGTTAGGTGCCTAAGTCAGGGAGGCAGTTAGTATTCCATGTCATCCTTAAAAGGAAGATTTTATTAAGTATCAGCTATATTATGTATTTTATAAGTGAAGACATTTAGGCTGAGAAGTGACTTACCCAAGGTCACAAAGCAAATGAGTTGTAGTGTTAGATTCCAACCCAGAATAGTTCCACCAAAAGTTTTCTATAAATTCTTGAGGGAATTAAACTGCCGCCGGGCGCAATGGCTCAGACCTGTAATCCCAGCACTATGGGAGGCCGAGGCGGGCGGATCGCTTGAGCCCAGGAGTTAAAGACCAGCCTGGGCAACATGGTGAAACCCCGTCTCCACAAAAAATAACAAAAATTAGCCAGACGTGGTGATGTGCGCCAGTAGTCCCAGCTACTCGGGAGGCTGGGGTGGAAGAATCGCTTGAACCCAGGAGGTTGAGGCTGCAGTGAGCTCAAATCCTGCCACTGCACTCCAGCCAGGACAACAAAGCAAGACCTTGCTCCAAAATAAGTAAATATATAGACTGGGCGCGGTGGCTCATGCCTGTAATCCCAGCATTTTGGGAGGCCGAGGCAGGCGGATCACCTGAGGTCAGGAGTTCAAGACCAGCTTGACCAACATGGAGAAACCCCGTCTCTACTAAAAATATAAAACTAGCCAGGCATGGTGGGACATGTCTGTAATCCCAGCCACTTGGGAGGCTGAGGCAGGAGAATCGCTTGAATCCAGGAGGCAGAAGTTGTAGTGAGCCAAGATCGTGCCATTGCACTCGGGCCTGGGCAACGACAGTGAAACTCCATCTCAAAGAAAAAAAAAAAAGTAAATATATAGATGCTTTTTAATTTTTACTGTCTAGCTCCTGAAAAAAAAAAAAAAAAGCCTACTCCCAGGACGGATCAAATGGCATCATCCTCTTAGATACCTTTATTATAAAATTTATCAGAATACATGACAATTAATTTCATCTCTCACTGTATCAAGGTTTCTCAAAATGAAATGTCACACACTCTCAGAATCCTCTGGGTTCTTTTTTCAAAAAAGGCAGATTCCTAGATTTCCACCCTAAACCTATTTTTAAGTAGCTCTTTCAAGTGATTAGGCCCTAAACCTAGTTTAAAACACACCAAGAAGGCTGGGCGCAGTGGCTCATGCCTGTAATCCCAGCATTTTGGCAGGCAGAGGCGGGCAGATCACTGGAGGTCAGGAGTTCGAGACCAGCCTGACCAACATGGTGAAACCCCATCTCTACTAAAAATACAAAAATTAGTCGGGCGTGGTGGTGCATGCCTATAGTCCCAGCTACTCGGAAGGCTGAAGCAGGAAAATCGCTTGAACCTAGAGGCGGAGGTTGCAGTGACCGGGGATCATGCCACTGCACTCCAGCCTGGGCGACAGAGCAAGATTTGGTCTCAAAGAAAAGAAAAGAAAACAAAACAAAACAAAAACACCAAGAGAAGAAACTGGGGAAAAGAAACTTCCAGAAAGGGAGAAATTTCCTGGAAGGAAGAAACTGCATTACTCATCTTTGTAAACCAAGCTCTGAAGATTCTAATAGCTGTTTAGTCCATTCAGCAACTGTCCATACCTAAACTTGCTTAGGGGTGGAGGTAGGGAGAGGAAACTTAACACCGTGGAGGAGTATTCTAAACATTTCACATATTTATCTAATTTAATTATTCCTACCAATTTAAGAGATAGTTGTCCCCTTTTACAGATGAGAAAACTGAGGCTCAGATATTTTAGTTAAATTATGACTGTTCTGTTTAGTTCCAAAGCCTGTGTTTTTTCCATAGTCCTAGACTACACCCGAATTGGGAATTAGGATAAAATTAAACTGACAAAAAGACCTAAATTCAGAAATTCAATAGCCATCATCCTTTTTACAATCCTTTCCCCTTTGCTCCTCCAGAAGAAGACAATTCAGCATGAGGCCAGTGAGGAATGCCCTAGACGTATACTAGTTTATTGATAGTCCCTGAGAGCAAATGAATGACATGATCCATCTTGTCCAATTGCTCTGTAAAAACCTGAAAAAGTGTTCTTTAGACTGAAAAAAAAAAACAAAAACAAAAAAACCAACTTATATCAAGGCTATTCAGATCCCTTACATGCACACACGCAGTGTCTATCTTTTCTTTTTTTTTTTTGAGAGTCTCACTCTGTCTCCAAGCCTGGAGTGCAGTGGTGCGATCTCAGCTCACTGCAACCTCTGCCGCCCAGGTTCAAGTGATTCTCCTGCCTCAGCCTCCCAAGTAGCTAGGATTACAGGTGCACGCCACTATGCCTGGCTAATTTTTGTATCTTAGTAGAGATGAGATTTCATCATGTTGGCCAGGCTGATCTCAAACTCCTGACCTCAGGTGATCCTCTGCCCACCTCGGCCTCCCAAAGTGCTGGGATTACAGGTGTGAGCCACTGCGCCCGGCAATTTTTTTTTTTCCTGAGACGGAGTCTTGCCCTGTTTCCCAGGCTGGAGTGCAGTGGCGCGACTTTGGCTCACTGCAACCTCTGCCTTTCAGATTGAAGCAATTCTTTCTGCCTCAGCGTCCCTTGTAGCTGGGACTACAGACATGTGCCACCATGCCTGGCTAATTTTTGTATTTTTAGTAGAGACAGGGTTTCACCATGTTAGCCAGGCTGATCTTGAACTCCTGACCTGAGTTGATCTGCCCGCCTCAGCCTCCCAAAGTGCTGCGATTACAGGTGTGAGGCACTGCACCTGGCTACCTGGTTAACTTTTTGATGTTTTGTTGAGATCTCATTATGTGGCCCAGTTGGTGTTGAACTCCTGAGCTCAATCCCAAAGTGCTGGGATTACAAGCACGAGCCACCATGCCCTGCTTAAAATTCGTATCTTTTTTTTTTCTATACAGAGTCTCGCTCTATGGCCCACACTGGAGTGCAGTGGCGCGATCTCGGCTCACTGCAAGCTCTGCCTCCCGGGTTCACGCTATTCTCCTGCTTCAGCCTACTGAGTAGCTGGGACTACAGGCACCCATCACCACGCCTGGCTAATTTTTTGTATTTTTAGTAGAGACGGGGTTTCACCATGTTAGCCAGGATGGTCTCGATTTCTTGACCTCGTGATCCGCCCACCTCGGCCTCCCAAAGTGCTGGGATTACAGGCATGAGCCACCGGGCCCAACCATTTTTTTTTGTTGGGGGTACAGGGTCTCGCTCTGTTGCCAGGCTGGAGTGCAGTGGCGTGATCTTGGCTCACTGCAACCTCCGCCTCCTGGGCTCAAGCGATTCTCCTGCCTCAGCCTCCCAAGTAGCTGGGACTACAGGCGCACGCCACCACACCCAGCTAATTTTGGTATTTTTAGTAGAGACAGGTTTTCACCATGTTGGCCAGGATGGTCTTGATCTCTTGACCTTGTGATCCACCTGCCTTGGCCTCCCAAAGTGCTGGGATTACAGGCGTGAGCCACTGCACCCGGCCAAATTCATATCTTTTATAAGAATGACTTCTATGAAGCCTTTCCTACCCCCCTCAGTTATTGAATACACTGGCCACTGTGCTCCTTTTATTTGCCACCATTAGAGGTATCTAAGTATCCTGTCTCCCCAACTACATTAAGCGATTTGAGGGCAGGGATGATGCCTTTTCACTTTGGATTCTCAGGGCCTGGAATATAGTTGAGTCCCAGTAAACATTTTTGTTAAATGGGAGGGGAAGCCTAATCCTGACCATCCTGAATAGTCTCCAGATATAATACTAAGATTGATTCTCAGCTTTCATTTGGGTGCCTTATAAAAGTTAAATCATTCTTCCTAATTTTTGTTTGTTTGTTTGTTTTATTTTGAGATGGAGTCTCCCTCTGTCGCCCAGGGTAGAGTGCAGTGGCAGGATATGGGCTCACTGCAACCTCCGTCTCCCAGGTTCAAGTAATTCTCCCACTTCAGCCTCCGAGGTAGCTGGAACTACAGGCACATGCCACCACCCCTGGCTAATTTTGTTATTTTTAGTAGAGATGGGGGTTTCACCATGTTGGCCAGGCTGGTCTCAAACTCCTGACCTCAAGTGATCCGCCCGTCTCAGCCTCCCACAGTGTTGGAATTACAGGCATGAGCCACCGGGCCTCTTCCTGATTTTGAACCCAATCCTCAGCTTTTTTCAGTCTCCCATTTAGGAATCTGATAATTAAGAACATTTTACAGGCCGGGCGCGGTGGCTTACCCCTGTAATCCCAACACTTTGGGAGGCTGAGGCAGGCGGGTTACCTGAGGTTGGCAGTTCGAGACCAGCCTGACCAACATGGAGAAACCCCATCTCTACTAAAAATACAAAATTACCCAGGCGTGGTGGCGCATGCCTGTAATCCCAGCTACAAAGGAGGCTGAGGCAGGAGAGTCGCTTGCACCCCGGAGGTGGAGGTTGCAGTGAGCCAACGTTGCGCCATTGCACTCTAGCCTGGGCAACAAGAATGAAACTCCATCAAACTCTCAACTACAGCTGAGTACAAAGTGGACTAACTGAAATTTCTTTTACCTGTCCTGCCTACTCTAGATTAAAGGAGGCTAGAAAAGAAGAGAGTCTTTTGACAAAACAGTAAAGTCTTGCAGTCTTCTAAACCCTTACTTTCCACCTCTCTGAACAAGAAAACAAGCCTAGACTTTTCACATCAGAAGCTTGTGATAAGCAGGCTAGGATCATTCAGTGCAATTAGGACTATAGAAGCTGGATGGAACATCACATACATCCCCGGAAGTCTTTTAAGAGCCCTGGAAAAGCAAGAAACTGATCCAAAAAGAAACTGAAACAAGACAGGCTTCTTTCTGGTTGGCAAGCCCAGAACTTGTGAGAAATTCAGTACTGGCTGCTGTTAACTGGTTGCTGATAATCTTTTTTGTGTTTGTTTCTTTGTTTGTTTTTATGAGACAGAGTTTTGCTCTTGTTGCCCAGGCTGAAGTGCAATGGCGCAATCTCAGTTCACTGCAACCTCCACCTCCCGGGTTCAAGTGATTCTCCTGCCTCAGCCTCCTGAGTAGCTGGGATTACAGGCATGCACCACCATGCCCGGCTAATTTTGTATTTTTTTAGTAGAGATGGGGTTTCTCCATGTTGGTCAGGCTGGTCTCCAATTCCTGACCTCAGATGATCCACCCGCCTCGGCCTCCCAAAGTCCTGGGATTACAGCTATGAGCCACCGCGCCCGGCCAATATTCTTTTTTTTTTGTTTTTTTAGAGACAGTCTCGCTCTTTCGCCCAGGCCGGACTGCAGTGGCACTATCTCGGCTCACTGCAAGCTCCGCCTCCCAGGTTCATGCCATTCTCCTGCCTCAGCCTCCCGAGTAGCTGGGATTACAGGCGCCCGCCACCTCGCCCGGCTAATTTTTTGTATTTTTAGTAGAGACGGGGTTTCACCGTGTTAGCCAAGATGGTCTCGATCTCCTGACCTCGTGATCCGCCCGCCTCGGCCTCCCAAAGTGCTGGGATTACAGGCATGAGCCACCGCGCTAGGCCTTTTCTTTATTATTATTAACATTATTTAAAGTGACTCATTCTGTTGTAAGCTGGGCGCGGTGGCTCACGCCTGTAATCCCAGCGCTTTGGGAGGCCGAGGCGGGCGGATCACAAGGTCAGGAGATCGAGACCATCTTGGCTAATGTGGTGAAACCCCGTCTCTACTAAAAATACAAAAAAAAATTAGCCGGACATGGTGGCAGGCACCTGTAGTCCCAACTGCTGGGGAGGCTGAGGCAGGAGAATGGCGTGAACCCGGGAGGCAGAGCTTGCAGTGAGCCGAGATGGCGCCACTGCACTCCAGCCTGGGCGACAGAGCGAGACTCTATCTCATAAATAAATAAATAAATAAAATAAAATGACTCATTCTGTACCTTTGCTGTGTCTTTCTTTCCTTATCTGAGAAGCATTGTGATTCATCCCTGCCTAGGCTGCACCTAGTAATACTAGGAAGGCATTCATTCGACTCTGCAGTCTGTGGCTCTGGTGGTCTTGAAGGCCCTGAAGGAGAAAGGCTGGTTGTAAAATGAGAATTTTTGTTTGAGGGTTGGGAGGCATGGTCAGGAACACAATTTAGTTATTGTTGGAGCTGAACTCTGGCTCAACCTTTTTTAATATTCCCTGACCGTAAGCCCAGCTGATGGTCTCTGGAGCTGGAAGATCCTTTACCAAACAAAACCAACAGCAGTTGGAGGCATGGTGAGGAAGAGGAAGAGAGATTGCTGAGAGACTGGAAGTTTCACAATCCATCTACTTTCTTGAGAACTGGAGAAGGGAGGCTCAGGGAACTGAGGAGGGTCAGAGACTGGCTTATACCCCAAATAGATCAAACATAGAGCTTTCCTGAACATTTAAATCTGACCCCTAGGGATTCCAGTTTGGAACAAACACATAATTAAAACATTTCCCTTCCCTTCCCCAAATACCCAAACCCCTAAGGCTTCTCAGGGAGCCTAGGCTTGCCACACCCCTGAGGAAGGTGTGCTTAATGTCAACTAACCCCTGTGGTACCCACACAAACCCAGACCCCTGCACCCCAAGTGGGATGAAGTCCTGCCTGGCAGCTAAGCATTTAGTTTTGTTTTTTTTTTGAGATGGAGTCTCAATCTGTTGCACAGGCTGGACTACAGTGGCACGATCTCCATTTACTGCAACCTCTGCCTCCAGGGTTCAAGCGATTCTCCTGCCTCAGACTCCCCAGTAGCTGGGATTACAGGTGTGTGCCACCACGTCCCGCTGATGTTTGTGTTTTTAGTAGAGACAGGGTTTCAACATGTTGGCCAGGCTGGTCTCGAACTCCTGACCTCAAGTGGTCCGCGCGCCTTGGCCTCTCAAAGTGCTGGGATTACAGGCGTGGACCACCACGCCCGGCCCGGCCCGGCCCAGCTCAGCATTTAAAAAAAAAAAAAGTTCCTCTTTTAACCAGAAGTGAAGCAGTTTCCTTTTCTCCTTCGTCTCCTGAGACAAGTAGCCCTGAGTCCGCTCCAGAGTCCAGAGTTGAGGAGAAAGGGACACCACCCCATTCCCAGAAAAGGAGCATGGCCCAGACAGGTGTGGGAAAAGGACCTGCCCTCCGTGGGCATTCTAGGAAGAGGCTGGAGGAAGGAAGGGAAGGGGAGGCGAGAGGAGGGCAGCGGACCAGGGGCTGGCTCTGTTTCCCCCTCTCACGGAACTGGGGCCACCCTGGGGGCGGGCGGAGGGCCGGGCTGGAGGAGGAGGGAGCCGGATTCGTAAACAAACCTGCCCGGGCCACGAGGTGCCCAGAGGAATGGGGTGGGGCTTGCCGGCCTCAGGCCCAGCCCGGAGCTGGAAGACTGGCGTGAGCTGGCCTGGGGCCTCTCCACCCCCAGTTTCCGGGTAGGGGTGGGCCCTCTGGCTCTCCCCAGCCGCAAACCCCTCCTTCCGGCTTTGCGCGCCCTCCCTCCCTCGAGCCCAAGAAGCTAGCTGAAGTTCGTGGAGGCCTGACACCTGACTTCTCAGCGCTTCTTCCGGAAGCCTTCACTGCCCCCAGGGAGAAAAACTGGGCGAGTGGGTGGCTCCTGTAGGGGAAAGGCCCTGGAACACCATGTTAGTTCCTTCTTGGTATGACCAGGAAAATAGTGGAGAGAAGGAGGGAGAGGACAGGAGCGCCACAGACTTCTGTCTCCAAGAGGGGTTTTCCGCACCACTGCCTGCGACCCAGATGCCCTGCTTAGAAGCACTAAACTTCACCGCCTCCTGCCAGCGCTCTGCGCTCCCCTCCCCCGCCGCTGTAGGCGATCAGAGGTGCCTGGGCAAAGGTCCCTGGGAGTGTCCCAGGAAGAATTTCTCCAGTCACTCACAAACTCATAACTAACATCTGTAGATATATTATCCCTTTCCAAAGGTAGGAAATAAACAGAGCTTGAGAAGTGTGCCCGATCAAGGTCTCAAGGCAGGTGAGGCAGGACTCCCTGACTACAATTCTACTTCTTTAGCATTTCCCTAAGTGTGCAGTGACCACTGGTGGAATTTATTTACTTATTTATTTATTTTGAGACAGAGTCTTGCTCTGTTGACCAGGCTGGAGTGCAGTGACACGATCTTGGCTCCTTGCTACCTCTGCCTCCCGGGCTCAAGCAATTCTCCTGTCTCAGCCTCTGGAGTAGCTGGGATTACAGGCGTGAGGCACCATGCCCTGCTAATTGTTGTATCTTTAATAGAGATAGGGTTTCACCAAGTTGGCCAGGCTAGTCTTGAACTCCTGAGCTCAAGTGATCCGCCCACCTTGGGCTCCCAAAGTGCTGAGATTACAGGAGTGAGCCACCACGCTTGACAGGACAAAACCCCCTCTCTACTAAAATAAATTAGCCGGGTGAGGTGGCACGTGCCTGTAGACCCAGCTACTCTGGAGACTCTGAGGCAGGAGAATCGCTTGAGTCCAGAAGGCGGAGTTTGCGGTAAGCCGAGATCTCGCCATTGCACTCCAGCCTGGGCAACAAGAGTGAAACTCCGTCTCAAAATAATAATAATAATAATAATAATAATAATAATAATAATAATAATTGCTAAGTTCAGATGATGGGTGTTCTAGGTTCATTTTCTTCTCTTCTGATTTAAATGATTATTATTATTATTTTATTTATTTATTTTTTTGAGATGGAGTCTGGCTCTGTCGCCCAGGCTGGAGTCCAGTGGCGCGATCTCGGCTCACTGCAAGCTCCGCCTCCCGGATTCACGCCATTCTCCTGCCTCAGCCTCCCAGTAGCTGGGACTACAGGCGCCTGCCACCAGGCGCGGCTAATTTTTTTGTATTTTTAGTAGAGACGGGGTTTCACCATGTTAGCCAGGATGGTCTTGATCTCCTGACCTCGTGATCCGCCTGCCTCGGGCTCCCAAAGTGCTGGGATTACAGGCGTGAGCCACTGTGCCCGGCCTAAATGATTATTATTATAATTTTTTTTTGAGACGGAGTCTCCCTCTGTTGCCATGCTAGAGACGGTGTTTCACCATGTTGGCCAGGATGGTCTCCATCTCTTGACCTCATGATCTGCCCGCCTCAGCCTCCCAAAGTGCTGGGATTACAGGCGTGGGCCACCGCGCCCGGCCTTAAATGATTTATTTATTTTTTTTTTAGACGGAGTTTCCCCGTCTCTACTAAAAACACGAAACATTAGCCGGGTGTGGTGGTGCACACCTGTAGTCCCAGCTATTCAGGAGGCTGAGGCAGGGGAATCTCTTGAACCCAGGAGGTGTAGGCTGCATGAGCTGAGATCACGCCACTGAACTCAAGCCTGGCGACAGAGTGAAACTCCGTCTTAAAAAAAAAAAAAGCCAAGTGTCTTCCTCTGTGACATTGCACTAATACACACACAGTTGTGGTCTTCTAGAATGCCCTTCTGCCACAGGTCAAGAACTCACCGGCCGGGTGCGGTGGCTCACACTTGTAATCCCAGCACTTTGGGAGGCCAAGGCGGGCAGATCACGAGGTCAGGAGATCAAGACCATCCTGGCTAACACGGTGAAACCCCATCTCTACTAAAAATACAAAAAAAAATTAGCCGGGCGTGGTCCCAGCTACTTGGCAGGCTGAGGCAGGATAATGGCCTGAACCCGGGAGGCGGAGCTTGCAATGAGCCGAGATCGCGCCACTGCACTCCAGTCTGGGCGACAGAGCCAGACTCTGTCTCAAAAACAAACAAACAAACAAACAAACAAAAAACGAAGCAAAACAAAACCAAAAAAACTCACCTTTTTTTTTTTTTGAGATGGAGTTTCACTCTTGTTGCCCAGGCTGGAGTGCAATGGCGCAACCTTGGGTTAACTGCATCCTCTGCTTCCCGGGTTCAAGTGATTCTTCTGCCTCAGCCTCCCGAGTAGCTGGGATTACAGGCATGTGCCACCACACCTGACTAATTTTGTATTTTTAGTAGAGACGGGTTTCTTCATGTTGGTCAGGCTGGTCTCACACTCCTGACCTCGAGATCCACCCGCCTCGGCCTCCCAAAGTGCTGGGATTACAAGCGTGAGCCACTGCGCCCAGCCAGCCCTAAATGATTTTTTAACAGTACAAATGGTTAAATTTTTCAATTTTTTTTTTTTCTGAGACAGGATCTCACTTTGTCACTCAGGCTGGAGTGCAGTTGCATGATCATAGCTCACTGCAGCCTCCAACTTCTGGGCTCAAGTGATCCTCACACCTCAGTCTCCTAACTAGCTGAGACTACAGGCACTCGCCCCTGCACTCAGCTAATTTTTCTTTTTCTTTTTTTGAGATGGAGTCTCACTCTGTCACCCAGGCTGGAGTGGGGTGGCGTGATCTCAGCTCACTGCAAGCTCCACCTCCCGGGTTCACGCCATTCTCCTGCCTCAGCCTCCTGAGCAGCTGGGACCACAGGCACCCACCACCATGCCCGGCTAATTTTTTGTATTTTTAATAGAGGTGGGGTTTCACTGTGTTAGCCAGGATGGTCTTGATCTCCTGACTTCGTGATCTGCCCACCTCGGCCTCCCAAAGTGCTGGGATTCCAGGCTTGAGCCGCTGCGCCCGGCTGCACTCGGCTAATTTTTCTAAGTTTTGTAGAGATGAGGTCTGACTCTGTTGCCCTGCGGCTGGTCTTCAACTCCTGGCCTCGATATCCTCCTGCCTTGGCCTCCCAAAGTACTAAAGTTAGAGGCGTGAACTGCCATGCCTGGCCCCAACTGTATTAGTTTTATTTAACTTCAATTTTTTTTTTTTTTGAGACGGAGTCTCGCTCTGTCACCCAGGCTGGAGTGCAGTGGCACATTCTTGGCTCACTGCCACCTCCCCCTCCTGGGTTCAAGCAATTCTCTGTCTCATCCTCCCTAGTAGCTGGGATTACAGGCACCCACCACCACACCTGGCTAATTTTTGTATTTTTAGTAGAAATGGGGTTTCACCATCTTGGCCAGGCTGGGCTTGAACTCCTGACCTCGTGATCCACCTGCCTCAGCCTCCCAAAGTGCTGGGATTACAGGCGTGAGCCACTGCGCCTGGCCCCTAGTTTTATTTTTTATTATTTATTTATTATTTACTTTTTAAATTTTTTATTTTATTTTATTTATTTTTTTTTTTTTGAGACAGAGTTTCGTTCTTGTTGCCCAGGCTGGAGTGCAATGACGCGATCTCGGCTCACCGCAACCTCGGCCTCCCAGGTTCAAGCAATTCTCCTGCCTCAGCCTCCCGAGTAGCTGGGATTACAGGCATGCACCACCACGCCCGGCTAATTTTGTATTTTTACTAGAGATGGGGGTTTCTCCATGTTGAGGCTGGTCTCGAACTCCTGACCTCAGGTGATCCGCCCACCTCAGCCTCCCAAAGTGCTGGGATTACAGGCGTGAGCCACTGCGCCTGGCCTTAATTTTTATTTTTTGAGGCAGAGTTTCACTCTGTCACCCAGGCTGGAGTGCAGTGGCACCATCTCGGTTCACTGCAACCTCTACCTCACAGGTTCAAGGCATTCTCCTACCTCAGCTTCCTGAGTAGCTGGAACTACAGGTGCGTACCACCATGCTGGGTGAATTTTTGTATTTTTTTGTAGAGATAGGGTTTCACCATGTTGACCAGGCTTGTCTCAAACTCCTGACCTCAGGTAATCCGCCCACCTCAGCCTCCCAAAGTACTGGGATTACAGGTATGAGCTATTGCACCCAGCCATTTTCAATTTTTTTTTTCTTTTTTTGGAGATGAGTCTTGCTCTGTCGCCCAGGCTGGAGTGCAGTGGCACGATCTCAGCTCACTGCAACCTCCATCTCCTGGGTTCAAGCAATTCTCGTGCCTCAGCCTCCCTAGTAGCTGGGACTACATGTGCATGCCACCACGCCCGGCTAATTTTTTGTATTTTAGTAGAGATAGGGTTTCACTGTGTTGCCCAGGCTGGTTTTGAACTCCTGAGCGCAGGCAATCTGCCAGCCTCGGCCTCCCAGAGTGCTAGGATTACAGGCGTCGGCTACCGCGCCCAACCCATTTAAAAAAATTTTTAAGACAGTCTCGTTCTGTCACCCAGGCCAGAGTGCAGTGTCATGATCATAGCTCACTACAGCCATGCACTCCTGGGCTCAAGCCATCTTTCTGCCTCAGCCTCCCAAAGTGCTGGGATTACAGGTCTGAGCCACCACGCCTAGCCAAATTTTTTTTTTTTTTTGAGACGGAATCTCTCTCTTTAGCCCAGGCTGGAGTGCAGTGGCGTGATCTCGGCTCACTGCAAGCTCCGCCTCCCGGGTTCACGCCATTCTCCTGCCTCAGCCTCCGGAGTAGCTGGGACTACAGGCGCCCGCCGTCGCGCCCGGCTAATTTTTTGTATTTTTTGTAGAGACCGGGTTTCAACGTGTTAGCCAGGATGGTCTGGATCTCCTGACCTCGTGATCCACCTGCTTCGGCCTCCCAAAGTGCTGGGATTACAAGCGTGAGCCACCGTGCCCGGCCCAGAATTTTTAAATTAAATAATAATAATCGTAACAGTACAAATCCCCACTGGCTCCTTTCTCCTTTCACATCACAAGCCTCAGGCCCATGGCCTCCTTTCCTTTTTGCTGGAGTTCAGCACTTTCTCAGCTGCTTTTTTCTCTTTTCCCCTTGCCAAATGAGCCTGTGGCACAGGGCCAAGGACATGTCACCTTTTGCCATATATCTCAAGGCTTAGTGGTTTAGAGAAGGGAAGTAGAAGTCCGAGCTTCTCCCACACAGTGCCTTTTTAGAATCAGTTTCTGGCCTGGGCGCGGTGGCTCACGCCTGTAATCCCAGCACTTTGGGAGGCCAAGGCAGGTGAATCATCTGAGGTCAGGAGTTTGAAACCAGCCTGACCAACATGGTGACACCCCGCCTCTACTAAAAACACAAAAAGTTAGCTGGGCATGGTGTCAGGCACCTGTAATCCCAGCTACACAGGAGGCTGAGGCAGGAGAATCACTTGAACCCGGGAGGCAGAGGTTGCGGTGAGCCGAGATTGTGCCATTGCACTCCAGCCTGGGCAACAATGGTGAAACTACATCTCAAAAAAAAAAAAAAAAAAAAAAAATAGGATGGTTTCTGGGCAGTAGTAGTAGAATTTGGGTGAGACCTTCTCCCTCATACTGAAGACATCCATGTCCCAGCTAATCAGCATCTATCACACTGTGTGGCTAGTCCAGAGAAGGAAAGGACTCAGAGAAAATTGAGCAATCCTCCATGGGTCAGACTTTTGACTAAGGCTGAGGAGGGAGGGAGTAGCCTGGAGAACTTCCTATCTTCCAACTCGTGTGATTATTTACACCCCCACCATTCTCTGCTCTTCTTACTCCCACCCCAGACTAAGGCCACTCTTTACTGATGTTCTTTCATCAGTGTTGAACATGCTGTGTGCAAGACAGTGTGCTAGACACTGGGAAAGATGAGGGGGATGAGATATGGCCCTGACTCATGGCCTGCTAGAGGAAGCAGATGCATACACAGGTTATTATAATATACTGTCCTACTTGCAATGAAGGACATACATACACAAGTTATCCCTTTTTCAGGGAACTTCTGTCTAGTTTACTCCCCAACAAACTTCTACTCTCTCCCTCTCAAACTTTCATCATCCCCTGTCACAGGGGATATGGAATGAGATTTGATATGTAATTAGTCATCAAATCTCATCAATTTAAAATAAAACAAAATAATAAAATAAAAGAAGGCTGGGCGTGGTGGCTCATGCCTGTAATTCCAGCACTTTGAGAGGCCAAGGCAGGCAGATCACTTGAGCCAAGGGGTTAGAGACTAGCCTGGGCAACATGGTGAAACCTTGTCCATAATAAAAATACAAAAATTAGCAAGGCGTGGTGGCATGTGCCCGTAGTTCCAGCTACTCAGGAGGCTGAGGCAGGAGAATCGCTGAACGGGGAGGTGGAGGTTGCAGTGAGCTGAGATGGCGCCCCTGCACTCCAGCCTGGGCAACAGTGAGTGAGACTTTGTCTAAAAAAGAAAAAGGAGGCCAGGCGCAGTGGCTCATGCCTGTAATCCCAGCACTTTGGGAGGCCGAGGCAGGCGGATCACAAGGTCAGATCGAGACCATCCTGGCTAATGCAGTGAAACCCTGTCTCTACTAAAAATACAAAAAATTTAGCCGGCGGCCGGGCGCGGTGGCTCACGCCTGTAATCCCAGCAATTTGGGAGGCCGAGGCGGGTGGATCATGAGGTCAGGAGTTCAAGACTAGCCTGACCAATATGGTAAAACCCCATCTCTACTAAAAATACAAAAATGAGCCGGATGCAGTGGCAGTTGCCCGTAATCTCAGCTACTCAGGAGACTGAGGCAGGAGAATTGCTTGAACCTGGGCAGCAGAGGTTGCAGTCAGCTGAGATCACGCCACTGCACTCAAGCCTGGGTGACAGACTGAGACTCTGTCTTAAAAAAAAAAAAAAAAATTAGCTGGGTGTGGTGGCAGGCACCTGTAGTCCCAGCTATTCGGGAGGCTGAGGCAGGAGAATGGCAGGAACCCGGGAGGCAGAGCTTGCAGTGAGCCAAGATCGTGCCACTGCACTCCAGCCTGGGTGACAGAGTGAGACTCCGTCTCAAAAAAAAAAAAAAGAGAAAAGAAAAAAAAGTTCCATCCATTTTATTCCACGAATATCTTTCAGACCCAACTCTTCCACTCTCTCCGTACCTCTAGTCACTGCTTTAGTTATCCACAAGCCCCAACCCCCTCATTGCTTACTTGCATTGCTACTATACATGCATTTAACAGATTCCTTGTCTCCCGGTTGATCTTCATCAAAATAGGCACCATATTGTGGCCTCAGGGACTCTTACTGAACACCTGAACATAGACTTCATCATATGGTATACATGAAATCAAGATCGGGTGCAGTGGCTGACACCTGTAATCCCAACACTTTGTGAGACCAGGGCGGGCAGATCACTTGAGGTCAGGAGTTCGAGACCAGCCCAGTCAACATGGTGAAACCCTGTCTCTGCTAAAAATACAAAAATTAGCCGGGCGTGGTGGCGGGTGCCTGTAATCCCAGCTACTGGGGAGGCTGAGGCAGGAGAATCCCTTGAACCCAGGGGGCGGTGGTTGCAGTGAGGTGAGATTGTGCCACTGCACTCCACCCTGGGGGATAGAGCTAGACTCTGTCTTCAAAACAAAACAAACAAACAAACAAACAAATAAAATCTTTTGGCTGGGTGCCGTGGCTCACGCCTGTAATCCCAGCACTTTGGGAGGCTGAGGCAGGCAGATCACAAGGTCAAGAGTTTGAGACCAGCCTAGCCAATATGGTGAAACCCCGTCTCTACTAAAAATACAAAAATTAGCCAGGCGTGGTGGCAGGAACCTGTAGTCCCAGCTACTCAGGAGGCCGAGGCAGGAGAATTGCTTGAACCTGGGAGGCGGAGGTTGCAGTGAGCTGAGATTGCACCACTGCGCTCCAGCCTGGGCAACAGAGCAAGACTCTGGTCTCAAAAATAAATAAATAAAAATAAAAGTCTTTCCAGGCCCTACCTGTCACCTAGAGGTGTGAGAAGAATTCTTAGTCATGCCCACTCAACTACTTATCAGTCACAAAATAGGCCAAGTGCCAGCCGGGTGCGGTGGCTCACGCCTGTAATCCTAGCACTTTGAGAGGCCAAGGCGGGTGGATCATGAAGTCAGGAGGTCGAGACCATCCTGGCCAACATGGTGAAACCCTGTCTCTACTAAATATACAAAAAATTAGCCGGGCATGGTGGTACACACCTGTAGTCCCAGCTACTCGGGAGGCTGAGGCAGGGGAATTGCTTGAACCCGAAAGGCAGAGGTTGCAGTGAGCTGAGATAGCACCACTGCACTCGAGCCTGGCAACAGAGTGAGACTCCATCTCTTAAAAAAAAAAAAAAAAGACCAAGTACCTTCCTCTGTGACATTGCACTGATACACACACAGGTTGCCCTTCTGGAGTGCCCTTCTCCTGTAGGTCAAGAACTCACCTTTTTTTTTTCTTTTTTTTTTTTTCTTTGAGGTGGAGTTTCGCTCTGTAGCCCAGGCTGGAGTGCAGTGGCGCGATCTCAGCTCACTGCAAGCTCCACCTCCTGGGTTCGTGCCATTCTCCTGCCTCAGCCTCCCGAGTAGCTGGGACTACAGGCACCTGCCACCATACCCGGCTAATTTTTTTGTATTTTTAGTAGAGACGGGGTTTCATCGGTTAGCCAGGATATTCTCGATCTTCTGACCTCGTGATCCACCCACCTCAGCCTCCCAAAGTGCTGGGATTACAGGCGTAAGCCACTGCACCCGGCTGATAAATTTTGTATTTTTAGTAGAGACGGGGTTTCTCCATGTTGGTCAGGCTAGTCTCGAACTCCCGACCTCAGGTGATCTGCCCACCTCAGCCTCCCAAAGTGCTGGGAAGAACTCACCTTTCAAGTCTTAGATTAAGCTTCAGCTCTGGAGTCCTTTCCAAAAACATCCCTTTTCTTTTTGAATTGGCCACACTACTCCAGGAGCCCCCATTGCAACCTCTACTGTCTTTAAGCATGCAGCTGTTAACACTTTGTTGCACTTACTAGTCTGTACCTTTATACACACAGTGGAGGCTTGACAAGGTGGCTTATGCCTGTAATCCCAGCACTTTGAGAGGCCGAGGTGGGTGGATCACCTGAGGTCAGGAGTTCGAGACCAGCCTGGCCAACATAGCGAAACCCCATCTCCATTAAAAATACAAAAATTAGCTGGGAGTGGTGGTGGGTACCTGTAATCCCAGCTACTTGGGAGGCTGAGGCAAGAGAATCGATTGAACATGGGAGGTGGAGGTTTCAGTGAGCTGAGATCGTGCCACTGCACTCCAACCTGGCGACAGAGTGAGACTCCGTCTCAAAAAAATAAAAAAATAAAAAACACACAGTGGAGTGAAGTGAATCTGGGTGGTGGAGCCACAGGTCAAGGTTCACATCCAAGCTTATTTATTTATTTATTTATTTATTTATTTATTTATTTATTTTGAGATGGAGTCTCGCTCTGTCGCCAGGCTGGAGTGCAGTGATGTGATCTCGGCTCACTGCAATCTCCGCCTCCTGGGTTCAAGTGATTCTCCTGCTTCAACCTCCTGAGTAGCTGGGACTATAGGCGTGTGCCACCATGCCCAGCTAATTTTTGTGTTTTTAGTAGAGACGGGGTTTCACCACATTGGCCAGGATGGTCTCAATCTCTTGACCTTGTGATCCGCCCGCCTTGGCCTCCCAAAGTGCTGGGATTACAGGCATGAGCCACCACACCCAGCCTATTTATTTATTTTTTTAAGACAATGTCTAGCTCTGTTGCCCAGGCTGGAGTGCAGTGGCATGATCTCGCCTCACTGCAACCTCCCCGTCCCGGGTTCAAGTGATTCTTCTGCCTCAGACTCCCGAGTAGCTGGGACTACAGGCGCTCACCACCACACCTGGCTAATTTTTGTATTTTTAGTAGAGACGGGGTTTTACCATATTGGCCAGGCTGGTCTCAAACTCCTGACCTTGTGATCTGCCTGGACGGCCTCCCAAAGTGCTGGGATTATAGGCATGAGCCCCCGTGCCCAACAAATTCTTTTCTTTTTTTTTTTCTTTTTGAAACAGAGTCTTGCTCTGTCACCAGGTTGGAATGTAGTGGCATGATCTTGGCTCACTGCAATCTCCACCTCCCGGGTTCAAGCAATTCTCCTGCCTCAGCCTCCCAAGTAGCTGGGATTACAGGCGTGCACCACCATGCCCAGCTAATTTTTGTATTTTTAGGAGAGACGGGGTTTCACCATGTTGGCCAGGATGATCTTGATCTCTTGACCTCATGATCCGCCCGCCTCGACCTCCCAAAGTGCTGGGATTACAGGCGTGAATTTCAGTTATTTCTGTGACAGGGTCTCACTCTGTCGCCCAGGCTGGAGTGCAGTGGCTCAATCATCGGTATTTTTTGTAGAGAAGAGGTTTTGCCATGTTACCAGGCTGGTCTTGAACTCCTGGGCTCAATCATTCCACCTGCCTTGGCCTTCCAAAGTGCTATGCTTACAAACATGAGCCACTGAGCCCGGCCATATTTTTATTTTTATTAAAAAGAAATTTTTTTTTTTAACTGGGCATGGTGCTGCACACCTGAAGTCCCAAGCCACTCCAGAGGCTGATGTGGGAGGGTCGCTTGAATTTGGGAGACAGAGGTTGCAGTGAGCCCAGATTGTACCACTGTACTTTAGCATGGGCGACAGGGCTTTTGTCTTAAAACAGAAACAAAACAAAAAATAAATAAAAACAAAAACAAACAAAAATAAATAATTTGTTTGTTTTTGTTTTTGAGATACGGTCTCACTGTCACCCAGCCTGGAGTGCAGTCACGGGATCTCAGCTCATTGCAGCCTCCACCTCCTGGGCTCAAGCAATCCTCTTGCCTCAGCCTCCCAAGTAGCTGGGACCATGGGTGCCTGTCACCATACCAGGCTAATTTTTTTTTTTTTGTAGAGAAAAGGTCCCACTATGTTTTCCAGGCTGGTTTTGAACTCCTGGGCTGAAGGGATCCTCCTGCCTTGGCCTCCCAACGTGCTGGGATTATAGGCATAAGCCACCTTGCCCAACCTTAAAATAAATTTTTGAGACAGGGTCTTAGGTGTCATCCAGGCTGGAATGCAGTGGTACAGTCATGGTTCACTGCAGCCTCCACCTCCTGGGCTCAAGTGATCTTTCTCTCTCAACTTCCTAAGTAGCTGGGACTACAGGCGCAGACTACCACACCCAGCTAATTTTTAAAATTTTTTCTAGAGATGGAGTCCCAATACGTTGCCCAAGCTGGACTCAAACTCCTGGACTCATGATATTTCTGCCTTGGCCTCCCAAAGTGCTGAGATTACAGACATGAGCCACTGCGAGTGCCCAGCCAACTGTTTTTATTTTTTGTAGAGACAGGGTCTGTGCTCAGCCTACATTTTTTTTTTTGAGATGGAGTTTCACTCTTGTTGCCCAGGCTGGAGTGCAATGGTGCAATCTCGGCTCAGCAACCTCTGCCTCACAGGTTCAAGTGATTCTCCTGCCTCAGCCTCCCGAGCATCTGGGATTAGAGGCATGTGCCACCATGCCCGTCTAATTTTATATTTTTTAGTAGAGACAGGGTTTCTCCATGTTGGTCAGGCTGGTCTTGAACTACCAACCTCAAGTGATCAACCGACCTCGGCCTCCCAAAATGCTGGAATTACAGGCGTGAGCCACCGCGCCTGGCTCAGGCTATATTTTTGTATTGCATTGTTTGACTTAAAGAAGCTTGTTATGTGTATTAGATATTAATTATTTGTTTAAAATATGACAAATATTTTCTCCCTATGGATTGTCTTTTTTTAAATTCTACACACGCTGCAGGTGTTGTTGTTGTTTTGTTTTGTTTTTTGACAGGAGTTTTGTTCTTGTTGCCTGCCACCACGCTCAGCTAATTTTTTTTTTTTTTTAATTGAGATGGAGTCCAGGATGGTCTCAATCTCTTTACATCATGATCCACCCGCCTCGGCCTACCAAAGTGCTGGGATTATAGGCATGAGCCACTGTGCCTGGCCCCTAGATTTATTTTTTTCTAGAGTTTTACAGAATGGAGGCTGAAGCAACTCCATCTTGGATGTTAATCTGCTATGTTGACTTCTGAATAACCCCAGCTCCAGGAATGCCTCTAAAATTTTTATTTTATCTACTGATCTTTGGGTAAGAGCATATACTTATCATAAATCCTGCCCTTAGGTCAAGACCACCTTGACCATGAATCTTGCCCTTAGGCAGATTCACAGAACATTCTTGCCTTTCCCATAGAGGTCGACTTCAATTGTCCTACACATTCCTTCCCTATGGTATATAAATTCTGGATCTGGAGATTAATGGCACAGGGATACACTGTCTTGTCTCACCACTGCCAGAGATACAAACAGGGCTTCTGTTTGTAAGTCCCTGTTAAATGTTTCTTTCTTTTTTTGAGACGGTCTTGCTCTGTCGCCCAGGCTGGAGTGCAGTGGTGCAATCATGATTCACTGCAGCCTCAACCTCCCAGACTCAAGTGATCTTCCTGCCTCAGCCTCCCCAGTAGCTGGGACCATAGGCAGGTGACACCACACACAGCTAATTTTTTTTTTTTTTTGACGGAGTTTCGCTCTTGTTGCCCAGGCTGGAGTGCAGTGGCATGATCTTGGCTCACCGCAACCTCCGCCTCCCGGGTTCAAGCGATTCTCCTGCCTCAAGCGGCCGAGTAGCTGGGATTACAGGCATGTACCACCTCACGTGGCTAATTTTATATTTTTAGTAGAGACAGGGTTTCTCCATGTTGGTCAGGCTAGTCTTGAACTCCCGACCTCAGGTAATTCACCCACCTCGGCCTCCCAAAGTGCTGGGATTAAACAGGCGTGAACCACCACGCCCTGCCTTTTTCTGTTTTTTGAGACAGAGTCTCACTTTGTCACTCAGGCTAGAGTACAATGGCTTGATCTCGGCTCGAGGCAGCCTCTGTCTCCCGGGTTCACGTGATTCTCCTGCCTCAGCCACCCATGTAGCTGGGATTACAGGCACCTGCCATCATGCCTGGCTAATTTTTGTATTTTTGTAGAGAATGGGGTCACCATGTTGGCCAGGCTGGTCTTGAACTCCTGACCTCAGGTGATCTGCCTGCCTCAGCCTCCCAAAGTGATGGGATTATAGGCGTGAGCCACTGTGCCTGGCCTACACAACCTCCGTCTCCCAGGTTCCAGCAATTCTCCTGCCTCAACCTGCCGAGTAGCTGAGATTACAGGCATGTGCCACCTCACCCGGCTAATTTTATATTTTTAGTAGAGACAGGGTTTCTCCATCTTGGTCAGGCTGGTCTCCAACTCCTGACCTCAGGTGATCCACCCGCCTCGGCCTCCCAAAGTGCTGGGATTACGTGCGTGAACCACTGTGCCTGGCCAAGATCTCTGTTTTAATGCTGGTCATTAGAGGGGCGAGGTGGCTGATGCCTGTAGTCCCAGCTACTTGGGAGGCTGAGGCAGGAGAATGGCGTGAACCCGGGAGGCGGAGCTTGCAGTGAGCTGAGATTGGGCCACCGTATTCCAGCCTGGGTGACAGAGTGAGACTCCGTCTCAAAAAAATAAAAATAAAGGCCAGGCGCAGTGGCTTACCCTTGTAATCCCAGCACTTTGGGAGGCTGAGGCGGGCGGATCACGAGGTCAGGAGATCGAGACCATGGTGAAACCCCTTCTCTACTAAAAATACAAAAATAAAAATTAAATTAAATTAAAAATAAAATAAAGTGTTTCAGTTGGTTGTTGGGGCTCATGCCTGTAATCCCAGCACTTTGGGAGGCTGAGGGGGGCCGATCATGAGGTCAAGAGATTGAGACCATCCTGGCTAACATGGTGAAACCTTGTCTCTACTAAAAATACAAAAATCAGCTGGGCGTGGTGGCACATGCTGCCTATAGTCCCAGCTACTCGAGAGGCTGAGGTAGGAGAATAACTTGAACCCGGGAGGTGGAGGTTGCAGTGAGCTGAGATCGCGCCACTGCACTCCAGCCTTGTGACAGAGCAAGACTTGACTCCGTCTCAAAAAAAAAAGTTTCATCCAGCAAAAAAAAGATTTATACATGTTTCTACAGGTATATCTAGTTTATCACTTCATTTATTTTATTTGTTTGTTTGTTTTTGTTTTTGTTTTTTGTTTTTTGTTTTTTTGAGACGGCATCTTGCTCTTCTCGCCCAGGCTGGAGTGTAATGGCACGATCTCGGCTCATTGCAACCTCCACCTCCCAGGTTCAAGCGATTCTCCTGTCTCAGCCTCCCAAGTAGCTGGGATTACAGGCACCCATCACCACACCCGGCTGATTTTTGTATTTTTAGTAGAGATGGGGTTTCGCCATGTTGGCCAGGCTGGTCTCAAACTCCTGACCTCAGGTGATCTGCCTCCCTCAGCCTCCCAAAGTGCTGGGATTACAGTCATGAGCCACTGCGCCCGGCCCATTTATTTTATTTTTTATCGTAGAGATGGGGTCCTGCTATGTTGAGCAGGCTGGTCTCTAACTACTGGCTTCAAGCAATCCTCCTGCCTCAGCCTCCCAAAGTGCTGGAATGCTAGAATTGCAGGTGTGAGCCACTGCACATGGCCTAGTTTATCACTTCTAACTTATGCATAGTATTCCCTGCAAGATGGAGAACTAGCTTCTTTTTAACTTTTTTATTATTATTATTACTTTTTGAGACATAGTCTTACTCTGTTGCCCAGGCTGGAGTTCAGTGGCACCGTGTTGGCTCACTGCAACCTCCATCTCCTGGGTTCAAGCAGTTCTCCTGCCTCAGCTTCCCAAGTAGCTGGGATTACAGGCACCCACCACCAAGCCCGGCTAGTTTTTATATTTTTAGTAGAGATGGTGTTTCACCATGTTGGCCAGGCTGGTCTCAAACTCCTGTCCTCAGGTGATCCACCCACCTCAGCCTCCGAAAGTGCTGAGATTACTGGTGTGAAGCCACCACGCCTGGCCAAGAACTAGCTTCTTGAACCAGAAAGCTGTCATGAATATTCTCAAACATGTTACCTTATAGTTCTGTGTAATACTTTCTCATGGTGAAGATTCTAATATAAAAGCCTGGTCATTTCACCTCCTTACTCCACATCTTTCAATAACTCTTCATTTCTTTTTCTTCTTTTAAGTTTCTGTGGGCTTTCTGAGAACAAAGATTAGACCTTGAGTGCAGTGGTAGGACGGCAGCTCACTGCAAACTGTCTCCCCAAGCTCAGGTGACTCTCCCACCTCAAGCTTCCCAAGTAGCTGGGACTACAGGTGGATGCCATCACGCCTGGCTAATTTTGTGTGTCTGTGTGTATTTTTACCTGAGGTGTGGTTTCACAAAGCCTTCCAGAGGCCAAGGCTGGTCTGGAACTCCTGGACTCAAGCAATCCACCCGCCTCAGCCTCCCAAAGTGCTGGGATTACAGGCATGAGTCACTGTGCCCAGCCTCTTTTTTTCTTCTTTCTTTTTTCTTAAGACAGGGTCTCATTGGGCGCAGTGATTCACGCCTGTAATCCCAGCACTTTGGGCGGCTGAGGTGGGTGGACCACCTGGGTTTAGGAGTTTAAGACTAGCCTGGGCAACATGGCGAAACCCAGTCTCTACCAAAAATACAAAAAAATTAGCCGGGTGTTGTGGTGCTCGCCTGTGATCTCAGCTACTCAGGAGGCTGAGGTAGGAGGACTGTTTGAGCCTGGGAGGCAGAGGTTGCAGTGAGTCAAGATTACGCCATTGTACTCCACCCTCAGTGACAGAATGAGACCCCATCTCAAAAAAAAAAAAAAAAAAAAGGTCTCATCATGTAGCTGATCTGGAACTGGGCTCAAACTGGACTCCAGCGACCCTCCTGTGGGACTATAGGCATGTGCCAGTACATCCAGCCCTTCTTTTCTTTTGTTTCTTCTTTTGTTTTTTCTTTTCTTTTATTTTCCTTCCTTTCTCCCTCCCTCCCCACTGCCTTCCTTCCTGCCTTCCTCCCTCCCTCGCTTCCTTCCATCCATCTTGCTCTGTCACCCAGGCTGGAGTGCAATGACATTATCATAGATCACTGCATGTTTGAACTCCTGGGCCCAAGGTCTCCCCCTGCCTCTGCCTCCAGAGTAGCTGGGACTATAGGTGTGCACCACTGTGCTTAGCTCCCGGCTCTTTATTTATCTTCATTAACTCTTTTTTTTTCTTTTTGAGACGGAGTTTTTGCTCTTGTTGCCCAGGCTGGAGTGCAGTGCCGCGATCTCGGCTCACTGCAACCTCCGCCTCCTGGGTTCAAGCGATTCTCCTGCCTCAGCCTCCCGAGTAGCTGGGATTACAGGCACGTGCCACCATGCCCAGCTAATTTTTTCTATGTTTTTAGTAGAAACGGGGGTTTCATCTTGTTGGCCAGGCTGGTCTTAAACTCCTGACCTCAGGTGATCCACCTACCTCGGCCTCCCAAAGCAGAGGCATTATAGGCATGAGCCACTGCGCCCAGCCTTATCTTCATTAACTCTTATAACTTTTTTTTTTTTTTTTTTTTTTTCTGAGACAGAGTTTTGGTCTTGTTGCCCAGGCTGGAGAGCAATGGTGCAATCTCGGCTCACTGCAACCTCTGCACCCCGGGTTCAAGTGATCCTCCTGCCTCAGCCTCCCGAGTAGCTGGGATTACAGTCGTGTGCCATCATACCTAGCTAATTTTGTATTTTTAGTAGAGATGGGGTTTTACCATGTTGGTCAGGCTGGTCTCGAACTCCTGACCTCAGGTAATCTGCCCCCTCAGCCTCCCAAAAATGCTGGGATTACAAGCATGAGCCATTGTGCCCGGCCAACTCTTATAACTCTTGAAAGAAGTTCCTGACAGGTATTCACCAAATGCATGTTGATTTGAGGAGAGAATCCAGACCATGCTAGCCTCCACTGTGGGAAGCTGGGCCTGTCCTGTCCCTGTGCTGGTGAAGCAGGGCGTGTACATTCATGTTCTCCAGAGATTGTCTGTCTTACTCCTCCTGGCCCACTTTCCCCTACTGCCACCTTTTCCCCACCGTACTGTATGCATCTGCCATTCATCCTTCACAGTTCTTTTTTTTTGAGATGGAGTTTCGCTCTTGTTACCCAGGCTGGAGTGCAATGGCACAATCGCAGCTCACCGCACCCTCCGCCTCCCTGGTTCCAGAGATTCTCCTGCCTCAGTCTCCCAAGTAGGTGCAATTACAGGCATGCACCACCACGCCCAGCTAATTTTGTATTTCTTCTTATTTTTTTTTTGGAGACAGAGTCTTGCTCTGTTGCCCAGGCTGGAGTGCAGTGGCGCGATCTCGGCTCACTGCATCCTCTGCCTCCCTGGTTCAAGAGATTCTCCTGCCTCAGCCTCCCGAGTAGCTGGGACTACCGGTGCGCGCCACCACACCCAGCTAATTTTTGTATTTTTAGTAGAGAAGGGGTTTTATCATGTTGGCCAGGATGGTCTCGATTTCTTGACCTCGTGATCCACCCCGCCTCGGCCTCCCAAAGTGCCGGGATTACAGGCGTGAGGCACCACATCCGGCCAATTTTTGTATTTTTAGTAGAGACGGGGTTTTACCATGTTAGCCAGGATGGTCTCGAACTCCTGACCTCAGGCAATCCACCCACCTCAGCCTCCCAACGTGCTGGGATTACAGGCATGAGCCACCATGCCTAGCCTAATTTTGTGGTTTTAGCAGAGATGGGGTTTCTCCATGTTGATCAGGCTGGTCTCAAACTCCAGACCTCAAACAATCCGCCCACCTTGGCCTCTAAAAGTGTTGGGATTACAGGTGTGAGCCACCACGCCCGGACTCATCCTTCACAGTTCTACACTGTGGTTCCCTTCTCTGGGAAGTCTCCTCAAGACTGAGCTGGGGACTGCTACCTCAGCATTGGCCTTTGTAATAACTGCCATGTGGCAGGCAATGACCTTTATGTATTTCTCCTTACGCAGTGAATTTTTATATATCATCTTAGTCTACTATGAAGGTCTTCTACCCCCATTTTATACACAAGGAGACTGAGGCTCAGATAGATAGCGCAACTAGCAAGCGTTGGCACTTTAATTCACACCCTACTCTGACTTCCAAGGGAGTGTACTTAAGCACTACTCAAACTGCCTCTCAGTATCATACAAGTGTAGTGTTTACCAAGCTCTCTTCCACTAGGTTGCACACTTCTTGTTAAATGTTATATTGTACACTTCTAGCACATACCTGGCACACAGTAAATGCTTAGGAAATGTCTGTGAAAAGCAATCAGGTAGGCTAGTGGGGCAAGAAATAGACCAGCACTTGCTGAACTCTAACTAGGAGTCAGGATACCTTGTGTTTGCCCTCTCTGTACCAAGACTGTAGGGAACGATAGAATAAGTACCATAACTCTGAGACTTTTTCCCACCTCAGCCCTTGCCTCAAGCGCTGACAACTCTGCCACTGTCCCCTGCAAAAAAGGTACCAAAACTCTGTCTCCAGCCATGAGCCCCAAGCAGTCCGTGATAGGTGTTGTTGAGCGGCTCACTTCTGCCACCTGGTGGTAGTAACAAGCCTTTCTTATTCTCCAGGGCAGTGGACCCAAGGGAAGGTCTTGTCTAGAAAAGAGTAGAAGAAGCTCTTTGCACACTGCCCTTTCCCCTGAGGGTTTTCTTTTTGTGGAATCCTTTCTCATTTGCAGCACGCCTTGACATTCCTGTTTTCCAATATGCTGAATTGGATAGAGTTAAGACCCTTAAAGATCCTAAGCTCGGAAAAGATTGTGGTGCGCACCTCTACCATGAGGGCTTCAAGACAGAAACAATACAAAAAGCTGTCCCGGCGCGGTGGCTCACGATTGTAATCCCAGCACTTTGGGAGCCCGAGGCGGGCGGATCATCTGAGGCCAAGAGTTCGAGACCAACATGGCGAAACCCACGTCTCTACTAAAAATACGGAAAAAAATTAGCTGGGCATGGTGGCGCGCGCCTGTCATCTCAGCTATTCAGGAGGCTGAGGCAGGAGAATAGCTTGAACCCGGGAGGTGGAGGTTGCAGTGAGCTGAGATGGTGCTACTGCATTCCAGCCTGGGCAACGAGAGCAAAACTCCCTCTCAAAGAAAAACAAAACAAAACAAAAAAGGGCCGGGCGCGATGGCTCATGCCTGTAATCTCAGCATTTTGGGAGGCCGAGGCGGGCGTATCACGAGGTCAAGAAATCGAGACCATCCTGGCCAACATGGTGAAACCTCATCTCTACTAAAAAAAATACAAAAATTAGCTGGGCGTGGTGGCGCACCGCTGTAGTCCCAGCTACTCGGGAGGCTGAGGCAGGAGAATTGCTTGAACCCGGGAGGCGGAATTTGCAGTTGGCAGAGATTCCGCCACTGCACTCCAGCCTGGGCGACAGAGAGAGACTCCGTCTCAAAAAAAAAAAAAAAAAAAAAGAATCAGGCCCCCACCCACTGCAAGCTCCGCCTCCTGGGTTCACGCCATTCTCCTGCCTCAGCCTCCCGGGTCGCTGGGACTACAGGCGCCCGCCACCACACCCGGCTAATTTTTTTGTACTTTTAGTAGAGACGGGGTTTCTCCGTGTTAGCCAGGATGGTCTCGATCTCCTGACCTCGTGATCCGCCCGCCTCGGCCTCCCAAACTGCTGGGATTACAGGCGTGAACCACCGCGCCCGGCCTCCCTGCCCACCTTCTTATCCCTCGCTCCCACCAACTCTAAGAAAACACATTTCAGGCTGGGCGACGTGGCTCACGCCTGTAATCCCAACGCTTTGGGAGGCCGAGGCGGGTGAATCACCTGAGGTCGGGAGTTTGAGTCCAGCCTGACCTACATGGAGAAACCCCATCTCTACTAAAAATACAAAATTAGCCAGGCGTGGTGGCACATGCCTGTAATCCCAGCTACTCAGGAGGCTGAGGCAGAAGAATCGCTTGAACCCAGGAGGTGGAGGTTGTGGTGAGCCGAGATCACGCCATTGCACTCCAGCCTGGGCAAAAAGAGTGAAACTCCGTCTCAAAAAAAAAAGAAAATAAAATAAAACATATTTCACCTTCAAAGAAGGATCCTAAAATGGTAATCTCTCTCATTTGTTGAATACTGTTTTTTTAAATGAGTTTCATTAAGAATAGCCATCTTGACTTTTGTCAAATGTCTTCTTAGCATCCATTGAATTGATGATATGATTTTTCTTTTCTTTTATTTATTTATTTTTTTTGGAGATGGAGTCTCGCTCTATCCCCCAGGCTGGAGTGCAGTGGTGTGATCTCAGCTCACTGCAACCTCTGCCTCCCAGGTTCAAGCGATTCTCCTTGAGAAGATTAGCTGGGATTACAGGTGCCTGCCACCATGCCCAGCTAATTTTTGTGTTTTTAGTAGAGATGGGGTTTTGCAATGTTGGCCGGGCTGGTCTCGAACTCCTGACCTCAGGTGATCCACCTGCCTCAGCCTCCTGAAGTGCTGGGATTACAGGCATGAGCCATCACGCCTGATTGATTTTTCTTGTTTAACATATTAATGTGTTCTTTTTATTTAATTTATTTATTTATGTATTTATTTTGAGATGGAGTATCACTCTTGTCACCCAGGCTGGAGTGCAGTGGTGCGATCTGGGCTCACTGCAATCTTCACCTCCTGGGTTCAAACAATTCTCCTGCCTCAGCCTCCTGAGTAGCTGGGATTACAGGTGCTCACCACCAAGCCTGGCTAATTTTTGTACTTTTGGTAGAGATGGGGTTTCACCATGTTGGCCAGGCTGGTCTCGAACTCCTGACCTCAAGTGATCCGCTCGCCTGGGCCTCCCAAAGTGCTGGGATCATAGGCCTGAGCCACCGTGCCTGGCCTATTTTTATTTTTATTTATTTATTTATTTTGAAACGGAGTCTCGCTCTGTTGCCCAGACTGGGAGTGCAGTGGCGCAATCTCGGCTCACTGCAAGCCCCGCCTCCCGGGTTCACGCCATTCTCCTGCCTCAGCCTCCCGAGTAGCTGGGACTACAGGCGCCCACTGCCATGCCTGGCTAATTTTTTTGTATTTTTAGTACAGACAGGGCTTCACTGTGTTAGCCAGGATGGTCTCGATCTCCTGACCTCATGATCCGCCCGTCTCGGCCTCCTAAAGTGCTGGGATTACAGGCATGAGCCACCGCGCCCAGCCCTATTTTTATTTTTTAAGACAGAGTCTTACTGTGTCACCCAGGCTGGAGTGCAGCGGTGCAATCTTGGCTCACTGCACCCTTCGCCTCCTGGGTTCGAGCGATTCTCCTGCCTCAGCCTCTTTTTTTTTTTGAGACGGAGGCTTGCTCTGTCTCCCAGGCTGGAGTGCAGTGGAGCCATCTCCGCTCACTGCAAGCTCTGCCTCCTGGGTTCACGCCATTCTCCTGCCTCAGCCTCCCTAGTAGCTGGGACTACAGGTGCCCATCACCACGCCCGGCTAATTTTTTTTATTTTTTTTAGTAGAGACAGTATTTCACCATGTTAGCCAGGATGGTCTCGATCTCCTGACCTCGTGATCCGCCCGTCTTGGCCTCCCAAAGCGCTGGGATTAAAGGCATGAGCCACCGCACCCGGCCTACCTCAGCCTCTTGAGTAGCTGGGACTACAGGTGTGTGCTAACATGCCTGAATAATTTTTGTATTTTTATTAGAGACAGGGTTTCACTATGTTGGCCAGGCTGGTCTCGAACTTCTGACCTCAGGTGATCCACCCACCTCGGCCTCCTAAAGTGCTGGGATTACAGCCGTGAGCCACCACACCTGGCCTAATGTGTTCTTTTTTTTTTTTTTTTTTTTTTTTTTTTTTTTTTTGAGATGGAGTTTCGCTCTTGTTGCCCAGGCTGGAGTGCAATGGCAGGATCTCGGCTCACCACAACCTCCACCTCCCAGGTTCAAGCAATTCTCCTGCCTCAGCCTCCCGAGTAGCTGGGATTACAGGCATGCACCACCATGCCCGGCTAATTTTGTATTTTTAGTAGAGACGGGGTTTCTCCATGTTGAGGCTGTTCTCGAACTCCTGACCTCAGGTCATCTGCCCGCCTCGGCCTCCCAAAGTGCTGGGATTACAGGCGTCAGCCACCGTGCCCGGCCGAGGTGTTCTTTATTAACTAATTCCATTCATTCCTGCGGTAAATCAGAAAGGGACCTTAGAGATCATGGAGACTAGTGGTTCTCAATTAGACATAGCCAAATTACTATTTCTTTTTTTTTTTTTTAAGAGATGGCCTTCTCAGAGATTGCAGTAAGCTAAGATTGCGCCACTGCACCCCAGCCTGGGTGATCTGTCTCAAAAAAAAAAAAAATGTCATGTTGTACAGGCTGGTCTAGAACTCCTGGCCTCAAGCCATCCTCGTAACTCAACCTCCTGAGTAGCTGGGATTACACGTACATGCCACCATGCCCGGCAAATTCCTTCATTTTTGAATGAGGAAATAGAGGCATTGAGAAGTAAAGTGAGTCATCTATGCCTTCAAATATGGTCCCTAGTTTTTTCTTTTTTCTTTTCTTTCTTTCTTTTTGTGTGTGTGTGTGTGTGTGTGTGTGTGTGTGTGTGTGTGTGTGTTTGAGACGGAGTCTTTCTCTTGTCATCCAGGCTGGAGGCTGGAGTGCAATGGCGTGATCTTGGCTCACTTCAACCTCTGCTTCCTGAGTTCAAGCAAGTGTCCTGCCTCAGGCTCCTGAGTAGCTGGGATTACAGGCACTCACCACCAAGCCTGGCTAATTATTTTGTGTTTTTAGTAGAGATGGGGTTTCACCATGTTGGCCAGGCTGGTCTCAAACTCCTGACCTCAGGTAATCTGCCCAACTTGGCTTTCCAAAGTGCTGGGATTACAGGCGGGAGCCATTGTGCCTGGCCCCTAGTTTTCTCCTGTATCTCTTTTCCCTAACCACACTACTAAATTCCTAAAGAGCAAGGACTGAGGGTTGTATACAGCATTTTCTCTACAGTGTTTCACCCAAGAGGCCACTCAATAAATGCCATTGACTACCAAATTGACGAATTAGTCTTTTGTATTGGAGCTAGAGCAAAAAGTTACAAGCTAAAAGGAAGATAGACGATGATGGTTATACCACATAAAGGACTTCTGGGCAAGGCATGGTGGGTTATGCTTGTAATCCCAGCACTTTGGGAGGCCGAGGTGGGAGGATGGCTTGAGCCCAGGAGTTCAAGACCAGCTGGAGAACATAGGGAGACCCTGTCTCTATAAAAATATAAATAAATAAATAAATAAATAAATAACTTCTGGATAGTTGGAGGCAAACCATTAAATATGTGAGTAAAGATGGCTTGACGTGTTGCCACCCCAGGTGAGCTTGGGAAAGGAAGATATACCTTCTAACTGGGCCACAAAACTGAAGAAAGAACACAAGGACTTTTGGCCATCCTGATTAGCTTTGGTTCTTATGATTATATAGTCAGTCCCTCATCCGTTTGTGGTAACCATGCATCCCAGATTTTCTGGAACTTTCCAATTTCAAATATTTCCCTAAACCAGTAATATGTTCCAGGAAAGAGAAGACTATGTATCTCCATCCTCAGCTTTTCCATAGTTCTGTCCCATAGTGTATCCATGCACAAATCTGTGCCCTTTCTAGCAAAAGACAAATGAGGGATGTAAAAATTAGGGTCTTCAGGCCGGTCGTGGTGGCTCAGACCTGTAATCCCAGCACTTGGGAGGCCCAGGCGGGCAGATCACAAGGTCAGGAGATGGAGACCATCCTGGTTAACATGGTGAAACCCCGTCTCTGGTAAAAATACAAAAAAAAAAATTAGCCAGGAGTGGTGGTGGGCGCCTGTAGTCCCAGCTACTCGGGAGGCTGAGGCAGGAGAATGGCATGAACCTGGGAGGTGGAGCTTGCAGTGAGCCGAGATCGTGCCACTGCACTCCAGCCTGGGTGACAGAGCGAGACTCCGTCTCAAAAAATAAATAAATAATAAAAATAATAATACAAATACAAAAAATTAGCCGGGCCTGCTGGCGGGCGCCTGTAGTCCCAGCTACTCGGGAGGCTGAGGCAGGAGAATGGTGTGAACCCGGGAGGCGGATCTTGCAGTGAGCCAAGATCGTGCCACTGCACTCCAGCCTGGGCGACAGAGCGAGACTCCGTCTAAAAAAAAAAAAAATTAGGGTCTTCAGGGCCAGGCGTGGTGGCTCACACCTGTAATCCCAGCACTTTGGGAGGCCAAGGTGGGTGGATAACCTGAGGTCAGGAGTTCGACACCAGCCTGGCCAACATAGTGAAACCCCATCTCTACTAAAAATACAAAAATTAGCCAGGAGTGGTGGCGCACGCCTGTAGTCCCACCTACTCGGGAGGCTGAGGTAGGAGGATCGCTTGAACCCAGGAGGCAGAGGTTGCAGTGAGCTGAGATCATGCCACTGCACTCCAGCCTGGGTGACAGAGCAAGACTCCGTCTAAAAAAAAAAAAAAGTAGGGTGTTGTACTGGAAATGTGATGGGCAGAAGATAATATGGTTGAAGAATGGGCTAAGCTGGGGGCATAATCCCTACCCTCTTCTTCTCAATCACCAAGACTGAGATAGAAGAGATCAGGAGGAGCAGTGCTGGGGCAGTATGTCACCAGTAAGGCCACAAAATCCCCAGGGTTACTCTCTGTCTCCAGGAGTTACTCTGGTGTTCTCCTTCCTCCTCTAGGCTCCCAGAGCTCCCTGCAGCTGCACACATTCTTCCCCTTTCTTTGTCCCTTGGCTGCCATGAGCGAGCCCACTAGACATCATATGCATCTTCTCCAAGAATCTGGAAGCAACTAGAAAGTGCTCTGAAGGTAGCACTTGAGAAGAAGCTCCCACAGCCTTCCTCTACCCCAGTTCCCAGGATCCTGGAGAGATGATGGGTTAGGCAGGCCTGAGTGCCATCTAGAATTGGAATGGGATGGTTGGTGGGTGTTGTCTGGCAGGGCACATTAGATGTCTCTGTCTGTCTCCTCTGTTAATTGAGGTCCTTCTGCTATCCTGTGCCAATGTTCTTGGATTCCTAAGGTCTCCTTATCTGGCAAGAAAGGCCTTAGGGTCCTTTAGAGGGCCAGGTAGAGAGAGAGGGTGATCATCTACGGGTGTGTTAACTTCTTCTAAGACCTGGCCTCTGTGGTTCATGTGTCCCCATGAATGCCCATGGTGTGACTATGACATGTGGTGTGTGCCTGTGTCAGCCTCTGTGTGTCAGGGCAGGGGCTCCTGTGGTGTGCCTATGTGTTGGGAGGGGGTGATGGTGAGAGCCTGGCTCCCTCTCCTCCTCCCCCATCCCTTCTCCCATCTGGCCTTGATCAGCCGGTCCCTAGGGAGGGAGCCGCGGTTTCGGATACAGGAAAATGTTCCAGGAAGCGGCCACTGTGCTGGGCCCTGCTCTGGCTCCCCCAGCGGAAATTGTTCCAGGAGGGAGGGAGGAAGGGAGTGTTGAGATAGGATTAAGGGAGGAGTGGGTTGGTTCTTGGCTCCCCTTTCCACAGGATAAAGCTGGATAAGTTGATGGGAAGCTCAGGTCAGCCAGGAACCTGGATGCTGCCACTGAAATCACTGAATGCAGGAAAATGGGCCAGCAAAAGAGGGTCCCCTTGCCTATCTGCTTCTCTTTTTAATGAAGTTTCAGTATTGGGACGAGGGTGGCCCCTGAGGGTCCCTCTTCTGGCCCTGCTATCATGTACACAAGCTGGAGACCAGAGCACCTGGGTCTTGTCTGAAAGTGGTGTGGCTTGGTGGGGAGGTAGGGGGCATACGATTCAGCTCCCTTTTCTCCCAACTGAGGGGGCTTTGAAGCTTGGATCCAGGACTGGGAGGGCTGCCTAATTGGGATAATGGAGGTTAATGGGGCGCCTGGAGGGGGTTGCCACGCTCCTAGATCAAAGGGGCCAGCTCTTCCCAGCCACCACAGCTGGAGGTCACAGCTGGAGGGGGAGGGGGAGGGGCTTCGGGCCAGCCAGCAGGGGGTGCTCCGGCCCTGGAAAGCCCGTCCTCTGAGTCTCTGATTCTCTTCTTCGCTTGGAACGGCTTTTGCTTAGAGAGTGCATTGGGGAGCGGAGGATAAGAGAATGGGGGAGCTCTGAGATCCCTACTCCTCTCTGTGTGGGGTGATGGGGAAGAGAAAGGGCATGAGAGACTGGCAGGCTGGGGGCCAACGGGATGTTGGCACCGTCGGGACCTCGGGCACTGCAAGATCCGGAGGAAGAAGCTTGGATGCAGCCTCGAGAAAGCTACGGCGGAAGAGGCAGGACTCCGGTCCTGGGTTCGGGCGGCTGAGAAAGGACTGGGCCGGGCAGCGGGGGGCGCTGGCTGGGCGGAGGCGAAGGGGCATCCGGAGTTCCCCCGCCGCCGCCCCCTCCCCCGGGCTGGCGCTCCCTCTCGGGCTCTAATCGGCGCGGCGGCCGCAGCGGGCAGAGTCAGCGCCGCCAGTCTCCGGGACGCGACTCCCAGCAATTGTGGTCGGGACCGCAGATATGCAGCTGCCTCCTGCCCGGGCGCCTGGCCCGGCCGGCCCCGCCCGCGCCCCGCCCCCTGCCGCCCGCCCCTCGGCCGCGCCGGGACACTGAGGCACGGGATGGAGGCGAGATCCCCGGCGGCCCTGAGCCTGGCCTAGGCCGCAAGAGACCTCCCAGCAGCCCCGGAGCTCACGACCTGTCCTGTCCTTCTGAGGGTGCCTATCTCCCCCACAGCTGTGGCTGGGGGCTAAGACCCCCCAAATCCTGCCTCAGCTTCAACCGTCCTTCTTGCCTCACACGTCCACGCGAGGTGGGGGTGGATGGGGGCATTGAACAGCGCTTTGAAATCCAGAGGGGGGCGTCCCATTGAGGCTATGTGGGGAGGAGGTGTTAATGTTGGTAGCTGAGTCCCAAGGACCTTCATTAACTGAGGCGGTGGAAAGTGGGCCTAGGTAGGCTTATAACTTACAGCGGGTTCCTATGTAGGGGAGGTGATGGAAGGTGGGGAGAGGGAGAAATGGGTGAAAAGGGGGAAAGGAAATAGTTCAGGAGGGATTGGGGCAGAGGGCAGAGGCGGGGGTTCTTCTGGGAGACTGAGGGCCAGGTCCTCAGATACTGCCCTGGCCCTTCACTGTTGGCCGGATCCAGCAACTGTCAAGAGCCATTCTCAGAACTGAATAGATACCTCTAAAATGCCTGCATATCCTGTGTGCAAGTGCACACATCAACACACAGATCAAGGGAAGTCATGTGTGACTACTCACCCCTCACATCTGATTGGACACCAAATCCTCTCCACCTCACATCCTCAATATCACCCCTTCATTGACTTATTTTTTTATTTTTTTTTTTCTTGAGACAGAGTCTGGCTCTGTCGCCCAGGCTGCAGAGCAGTGGCACAATCTCAGCTCACTGCAACCTCCGCCTCCCAGGCTCAAGAGATTCTCATGTCTCAGCCTCCCAAGTAGCTGGGATTACAGGCATGTGCCAAAAATTGGCACAGCCAATTTTTGTATTTTTAGTAGAGAAGGGGTTTCACCATGTTGGCCAGGCTGGTCTCAAACTCCTGGGCTCAAGTGATCTGCCCGCCTTGGCCTTTCAAAGTGCTGGTATGTGCCACCGTGCTGGCCCCCTCCACTGACTTCTGCTCATCCTCTCTGCTACTGCAGGCCACACCTTCCCACATCTTGCTTGGACTGCTGCAACAGATTGTTTCCTTGCCTCCGATTTTGCCCTTCTCCCAACTGTGACAATACTGCTAGGCACCATTTATGGAGCAACTACTAAGTGCCAGACACTGTGCTAAGAACTCAACACTTTTTATTGCTAATCCTTGTAACAACCCTGGGAGGTTACCATATTAAGTTGCCCCTTTCAACAGGAGAGGAATCTTAGGCCTCAAAGGTTAAATAGCTCACCCAAGCTTGCACCATTGTAAATGCCTGATTTACCCAGAACCGCCTGGCTCTAAGCCCTTATTTCATTCTCCTCTCTGAAGTCAGTCATTTCTCTAATATACGAGTATTCTCATATATTGCCTTTGGATCAAGTCTAGGCCCCTTGCATAGCTGATTAGAACTTCTCCATCAGCCTCCACTCTGTGTTGCACTCACACTCAATTTTCAGCATCTCAAAAGTTGTTAATCCCTCATACCTCTGAGCCTTTGCATATACTCTTCCCCCTTCCTACAACACTCTTCCTTTTTTTTTTCTTTTAGACAAGGTCTCATTCTGTCACCCAGACTATGTTTTTTTTTTTTTGTATTTTTTGTAGAGATGGGGTTTCGTCATGTTGCCCAGGCTGGTCTCAAACTCCTAGACTCAAGTGATCCACCCACCTCAGCCTCCCAAAGTGCTGGGATTACAGGCATGAGCCACTGCACTGGCACCACTCTTCCTTTTTTTACTTGATAACTCTTATTTGTCCTTCAGTTTCTTTACTTAGTCATGCTGTCTTCCAGGAAGCCTTCCTTAATTCCCCCCCAACACTGGCTTAGATTTACTCTTTTGTCTCCTATAACATCCAGTACTTATTTTTTATTTTATTTTATTTTTATTATTTATTATTTATTTATTTATTTATTTTTTGAGACGGAGTCTCTCTGTGTCACCTAGGCTGGGATGCAGTGGCACAATCTTGGCTCACTGCAACCCCCGCCTCCCAGGTTCAAGCAATTCTCTGCCTCAGCCTCCCAAGTAGCTGGGATTACAGGCATCTGCCACCACATCTGGCTAATTTTTTTGTATTTTTAGTAGAGATGGGGTTTCACCATCTTGGCCAGGCTAGTCTCGAACTCCTGACCTTATGATCTACCCACCTTGGCCTCCTACAGTGTTGGAATTACAGGCGTGAGCCACCACGCCTGGCCCTCCAGTACTTATTCTATCGAGATACTTCCTACTCTTTTGTATTAGTTGCTGGTTAGTTTGTGAGGTGAAGGGATGAGTCTGTCTTGCTTGTTATTGCATGCCTAAGTCTAGCCCAGTGTGCTTAGCACAAAGTAGGTGCTTTCTGAACATTTGTTGAATGAAAGAATGTTCTTTAAGTTCATTCCACATTTCAAAAATCTGGGCTCCGAGGAAGAATGCAGCAGGCCAGAGAAAGCGGGGAGACGTGTGTATTTAGGAATTTTTTTTTTTTTAAATGGAGTCTCGCTTGTCTTCCAGGCTGGAGTGCAGTGGCACAATCTCGGCTCACTGCAATCTCTGCCTTCTGGGTTCAAGTGATTCTCCTACCTCAGCCTCCAGAGTAGCTGGGATTACAGGCACGCGCCACCACACCCAGCTAATTTTTGTATTTTTAGTAGAGACAGGGTTTGTTTGTTTGTTTTTTGTTTTTTTTTTTGAGACGGAGTCTCGCTCTGTCGCCCAGGCTGGGGTGCAGTGGCGCGATCTCGGCTCACTGCAAGCTCCACCTCCCGGTCACGCCATTCTTCTGCCTCAGCCTACCAAGTAGCTGGGACTACAGGCGCCCGCCACCACGCCCGGCTAATTTTTTGTATTTTTAGTAGAGACAGGGTTTCACCATGTTAGCCAGGATGGTCTCGATCTCCTGACCTCGTGATCCGCCCTCCTCAGCCTCTCAAAGTGCTGGGATTACAGGCATGAGCCACCTCGGCCAGCCTGAGACAGGGTTTTGCCATGTTGGCCACGCTAGTCTCAAACTTCTGACCTCAGGTGATCCACCCACCTCGGCCTCCCAAAGTGCTGGGATTACAGGTGTGAGCCACCTCACCAGGCCTGTATTTAGGATTTTGAAGGACCATTCCCTTGAGTTGCTCAGCCTCACTCCTAGGGATGATGTGATCAGAACTCCATCACCCCAACTTCTTCTTATGAAAGACACTAGTATATTTCATGGATCAGATTCTAGGGTATCGTTTTTACAAAGGGTCATTTTCTAGAGATGACCAGGTTCTTACTTAATTCAATGTTGTCCCATTTTAGACACGGGCATCCAGGACAGGTCCCCTTGTTTCAGAATCAGACCCCAGTCTTCCTCTTCCTTTCATTTTTCACTTTGTCCCCTGCCATCCAGATTCCTTCCTGCTCCTTCCATGGCACTTCTGTTTCTGATTCTGATCTGCCTCTCCTAAAGCTGCTGAATTATATCAGGGCTCAATGTCAATGAAGGAACCCAAGGCTCAGGGAAGAGGGGAGCCAGAGTCAGTCCCAGAGGTCCTGCCTTGCAGCCCTGGTGCTGGAAGAGGGGATGGGGAGACCTAGCAGAGAGGGAGGGAAGTTGTAGTCTGTCTGTACCTGTAAATTTGTGTACATATTTGTTGGGGTGAGGAACTCCTTTTCCAAGCTGTCCTATACAAAGGTTGCCAGCCTCTTAAAAGCTTCCTTTCTACCCTGTGTCCTCAGCTTTGCCTCCTAAAATTGGATCCTCTTCCCCAAGTACCCTGAGCCTAGTGTCAGAAATGCTGGGTCAAGGCACTCGGCAGTCTCTAAATCCTGAGGCCATGAATGGATGTTCCTTCAACCCAAGGAGCAAGCTTTCCTGGTCATCAGCCCCATTGCTCTTAGAGGACCCAACAGACTAGTAGCTGATCCTCAGGGTCTCTCATCTGTATGCCCACCATTTGTTGTTTCCTCTTTGTCTCTCCTGTGTCTTTCTGTTTCCCTGTCTCTGCGTGCCTTCTTCTTTCCTGTCCCCTCTATGTTCTCTGTCGCTGGAGTATCCACTGGAGACAAGGGCTGGGCTGGGTGCATGGGCGGGTAGTGGCCAGACCAGGGGCCCGGGACATGAGCGCAACTTTCCAAGCTTCTCTTCCAGGCCCCTGTGGTTGGGGAGCTCCACAGAGGGAGAGATGAGTCAGCGGGGCCGCAGAGCAGCGGGGGCCTGGGTGGGGGTAGGGATGCTGGGGTTCCCCAGGACCAGGGAGTTCGCTGGGGCCATCTGGGTCTCTGAACTCTGGTGTGTGTGTGGAGTATTGGATCAAAAGTACCTAAAGGTACACTGGAACTTCTTATACTAGTAGGAGTTGGAGGCAGCAATTTGCAGGACTGGCAGTGGCCTCCATATCACCCTTATCTCCAGATCCTTATAGGGAGAGGGGTTCCCAAATGCCCTTTAGGAGACCACAGAGATCTCCAGGGCTGTAAAGTTGTAATGGTAGCCCTGGGTATATGTATGTGACATTTGCCACATGTGTAGATACGTGTGTTGATGGGAGTCTGTGAGTCCATGTGGGGAGTATTCTAGGTGGCTGTGAGTCTGTATGCATGTATATATATACTGGTGTGTGCATTTTTATGATTGGGGGTTAGGGTGTCTTGGGGTAAGCATTATCTGTATATGTATATATCAGTGTGTGTCAATATGGATGCCTGCATAGTACAAATGTGTATGAATTATGTGTCACCTTGTGTGTGTGCAAGTATGCAGATCTGAATGTGTCTGTCATCAGGTATGTATTAGGGCATGTGTCAGTCTCTATTTCAGGGGCTCTGCTCACTATTCTCTGGTGATTCTCCCTAGGGTAGTCAAACCTTCTATAACAGCAACAATGAAGAGTTGGGAGTCCCTTTGGATGAGGCTCTTAGAGACAGCCCAGCCTAGAAAGGTGGTAGAGGGTGATGGTGTGGACGATGGAAGTAGCATCCCTTGGGAATAGGGGGTACAGGTCTCCCACTCTCCCCAGTTTTTTTTTTCTTTCTTTTTTTTTTTTTTTGAGATGGAGTTTTGTTCTTGTTGCCCAGGCTGGAGTGCAATGGCATGATCTCAGCTCACTGCAATCTCCACCTCCTGGGTTCAAGTGATTCTACTGCCTCAGCCTCCCAAGTAGCTGGGATTACAGGCACCCGTCACCACGCTCAGCTGATTTTTGTATTTTTAGTAGAGACGGGGTTTCACCATGTTGGCCAGGCTGTCTCAAACTCCTGACCTCAGGTGATCCACCCACCTTGGCCTCCCAAAGCGCTGGGATTACCGGCGTGAGCCACTGCACCCGGCCCCACTCTCCCCAGTTTTCATTCTGTTTTCACCCCACTGATCTTTCCAAAAAGATCCAAAATCATTTGGAGAACTGAGGCAGGTGCCAGATTCAACCCCCTCTAACCTACAAAGCCCACCCTGATTCTCCTAGGGGAGGGTGGGAAGGGAATGGTTCCTGTGGTTCAGCCCAGTCCTGGCATTGGGATATCAGAAAGGCATCATCCCACCCCTTCCGTCTGGGGCATCCATCCCTTGGAGCTCAGCGTCTGGGTGGCCATGGGCGGAGGCTGAGGGGCCCCCAGGGTGGTGGGGGGTGGTGGATAGAAACCAGATGCCTAGGGGGTTTATACTGGAAGGACCAGAGCCGCAGCCTCTACCCGCCCCTGCCACATGGCGCCTCTCCCTGGTCTGCCCCACCCCCTGGGAGGCTGGGCTGAGGGAGGCCTGAGAGGGTGGAGGTAGGTCCTTGGTTAGGGCTTCCAATTGCTGCCCCCAGCCCCTCAGGGCACTGGGAAGGAGACTGGGGAGCTGGACCCAGGAACACCAGAGCCTCAGCTGGGCTGCAGGACTATTTTTAAAAAGGACATGGAGAAGTCAGAACCCAGGGGTTCCTGAGGGCAGCAGCTGGGGGATTCAGGCAGCCCCTCTGCCTATCTTTGGCGCTGATCTCTGGTGGGGAAGAGGCTCTGTGTCCAGAGGGTGTCCTATGTTGACACATCGGGGCACTGGCTCACATCTTCCTGGGACTCTGCTCCTCCTTTTTATTTCTCCGAGAATAGTAGGGTTCGAATAGAGAATAGTAGGGTTTGAATACGTCTGCCCCTTCCCGGGTAGGGTTAGGGATTAAAGCCCACACGGGGAGTGAGAAGGTGACCCTTCCTTCCAACTCCTCTCCCCAGCCCTGTCTGTCCATTTATCTTTCCATCCTTCCTCCTTTTCCCCTTCAGTTTCTTCCTTTCTTCTCTCATCTAATCTGAGTCCCAACCCCCTCCTCACCTGCTATCTCTTCTTTAGAATCTAGACTTTCTCCTCCTCTGCCTCAGTTTCCTGCCTGATCTAACTGGGTCGGGCTTTTCTGCTGGTGATACAGGAATTTCTCTAAAGCTTCTCTTTCTCAACTTCTGAGTTCGGGGCCCCGGAAAGCCATCTGGCACCTCAGTCTCAGACTCCCCCCCAACAAGGGGGAGACCGCGAGGTCACAGGGACACCCCACCACGGGCACTTCCTCTCAGGCAGACGGGTGGGGTGGCCCGTGTAATCAGCGGACACAATTATGTGCTATTTATACTCCTTCCCCGCCCCCCCACCTGCCTGGCAACACAACCCTCCTCCTCCTCCTCCTCCTCCTCCTCCTCCGGACCTGGCTATGCCTCAGGCTATTTTCTCTGTCCTTCCCAAGCCATTGTCTCCCCATCTTTGTTCCTCTGGGCCTGTTTCTTTATCTTTTTAGTTTCTTTCCTGCTCTGTTTTTTGTTGTTGTTGTTGTTGTTGTTTAAAGCCACACATCTGGTCTTCTGTTTTCCTGTTTCCTCTCTCTTATACCTGGTGATATCTCTTCTGATTGTCTTGGACTCTTTCATTTGCTCTGTTTCTTCTTTTGCTGCTTTCTCTTTGTCTATCAGCCACCTGGTTCCCAAACCCTTCCCCTAAACCTTGGGTTCCCAGAGTTCCTTGAGGTAAATCAAATCATGGGGCTAGAATCCAGAACTCCTGGGCCCTACCCTGAAATTGGTGCCTACCTGCTGGCGAAACTGCTGTGCAACCCTCCGTGGACCTCCATCTGCTCCTGCCACCTCCCAGCTTTTTCTTTGGAGATCTGGGAGAGCAAAAGGAGCAAGGAATTGGGCACTCCGAGAAAGTGAGGGGATGGTGTTGCAGAGTGAGGAGAGTGGAAAGGATGGGGCTTTATTCCCCTGACAGGGAGAGCTGGGAGGGGGAGAAGTGTGTGTTAAGGAATAACCTGTAAAACAACCCCAGCGGGCTAAGCCCCCCTGTGGGAGAGCTGCCGGTGTCACCACTTAGCTGCCCAGTCCTCTCTCCCATAAATACCTCAGGGCCCATGGCCCAGGTTTCAGGTAATAGACTTTTTGGGTTTCCCTCCTAACCTGGCTGCCCTTCCTTCTCTTACTTCCTATTTTGTTGGGAAGTCCTTATTAAGTTCTAACTTCAGTTCTTTCTGTGGAAGAGGGAATTGATGCATGGCAATGAGAAAGGGAACCAGGAGTTCCCAGGAAAGTCAGATCACTCTGGAGAACTGTCCACCAAAGGATGGAGATTAAACCCATGGTCTCTAAGAGATGGTAACTTGGTTACCCAGGGATGGTAACTGACAAGGAATATGGAGGTTAGGGCATTTCTTTTTGGGGGAAATAATCCAAAGAGGTTAGGTGTCGGCATGAATGAGTTGACCCAATGACCTTCTACCGCCACCCTCACTCCTGCTTGTCTTAAATTTTCTCTTCATCAGAAGATCCAGGTTCTGCCCCACAAAGTGAGGTAGGCCTAGGTATCACCTCCAAACAGTGAAACTGAGGCACTGGGAGGAAGACTGAGGGACCCCCAAGCCAATACCAAGCCTTCCCCAACTCTTCAACCCTTCCTCCAGGCCTTGCTCTGGAACCAACCTCAGTGACACTAAAAGTTTAGGCAGCAGAAACCTCCACCTCAGAACCTTCCATGCCTCTTCCCACAACATACACACACACACACACACACGGGCACGTACACACACACAGGGGCACATACACACTGCTCTCCTGATCTAGAGGCAGGTGGGTGACTGGGGAAGCAAGCCTCTCCATGGTCAGCTGGGGCGGGTGTGGTGCGTGTGCCTCCAGTGCGTCACTGTGTGCATTTGTGTGTGTCCGTCTGTGTTCATTCATGATAGTGGCTGTACCCATGTGAGTGGTACTGTGTGTACGTGTGCATGCATCACCCCTGTGTTTGGCCATGAGTGTGTATGTCAGTGCGTTCCAGTCTCTCTGTGTGAGTGTCGTCCCCAACCCCCCATCCCCCCCCTGGATCTCTAATTAGTGGTTTGGGGTTTGTTCCTTTTCCCTCCTGTTCCTTCCCTCAGCAGCGGCGGGCGGCAGCAGCCTAGGCAGCAGCAGTAGCAGAAGCAGCAGCCGCCGAGCAGCAGCAAGGACTCTGGAGTCAGAGTAGGACTGTAGGACCGGAGCCTGAGTGGAACAGGAGTGGAGCTGGCCTGGGAGAGAGCGGATCCCTCCCAGCACCCTCAGGCCACCCGTTGCCTGCACTCTCCCTGCCAGACCTCCAGAGAGGAGAGACTCGGGACAGCCAGCCCCAGGTTCCCCCAGGTACATGACACTGGGGAGCTCTGGGAGGGGTGCCCACAGATGCCTATGGGACTGCTGCCGCGTGTAGGACACCGGGGTCCACCATCCCTTTAACCTCTCCCCTCAGCAGCCCCCCGAGGAAGCCCTGACAACTTGCCCATGCTGCTCTCCCCTCTTCCTGCTTCCCACCCCTTCCATGGGCGCCCCTTTTTCTCCTCTCCCTCCCTGATCCCTTCTTTGGGGAGCTCAGCAAATGGAGCAGGAAATTTGGACCCTCTGCCTCCCTCTCTCGCCCTCCTCATTGGATCTGGAGCCTTCTCCGCTGGGAAAGCTGTAATTAGAGGGTGGATCCCTACAGACAGAGAGCAGCCCCCCACCCCGGTCCCTTCTAACTTTAGATCTCTTCTCTCCCATTCTCCCATTCTCCCTCCCTCTCCCTTTTCTCTCTCTACCCCCCCCACCCCCCGGCTCAGCTCTCTCCATCTGCCTGGCTCCTTGGGACCCGTTCCCCAGCCTCAGGATGGCGTCCTCCCTGCTTGAGGTAACTGTCCCCTCTTCCCCCCAGGAAACCAGCCACAACCTTAATGGTCCTAGTCCTTGCCCACCCACCTCCTCCAACTCACATAGATAGTAGCTGTGGTGCTTGTCAATTCCAGGGGTCCTTCTGATGAGGAGAGAGGAGTGGGGTCCAAGAAAGGGGAAGCAGAGGGCAGGAGAAAAGGGAGGGAAGAATAGGGCCAGGGGTCAGAGGGCAGTGGAAAGAGGGTGAGAGGGGATTAGGTCAGAAGAAGGCATGGACCCCTACCTAAGGTCAGCTAAGCACACTGACTGTGAGGAGTGGAAAAGCGATGGAGAAAGGAGGGGGAGGGGGGCGAGGGGGAGTGAGGAGAGAGGGGTGGGAAATACATAAGCTGGCAGAAGAGATAGAAGGCAGAGAGGACTGGCTGAGTGGGCACAGAGCAGCAACTGGGTATAGCTCTTTAGGGGTCCCGTCTCCTGGGACTCGTAGCCCAGACAGGATCTTGCCTGGTTTTGTGGGGAGGGGGCTGGGCCCGTGAGCTGGTGTGTGGAGGAGAGGAGGTAGGCTATGAGAGAAAGGAGGAGGCCAGCCTGTGCCTGTGGGGGAGCTGACCAGGGGAACTGAGCCCAGGCCTGTGAGGGAACCAAGGAGGAGGGACGGGGTCTGAGGCCGCTTGCCCGGCTTACAAATATTTAGCTTTCAGCCAAAGACAAACTCAGCTCTATTTTGGGAGTGGGAGGCTCCAGGGCGGACTGGGCCACTTCCCCTCCGGGCTGGGACCCCAGCATCCCTTGCCTCTGGTGCTGGGGACAAAGGGAATTGGGGTACCACTGGGGTCAGGGTTTGGGGTCTTGAGAAATTTCTGACTCTACTCTGGCTTCTGGGGGACCCAAGGCACAGAGTTGGGAAGGCAGGGCTCACAGCCACTCAGGGCCAGATTCCTCCCTGCTTCTGGGTCTCTGACACTGTTCCTCTGTCACCATCTCTGTCCTGCTTTCTGGGTCTCTCTGCAGGAATTTAGGGCCAGAGGGCCCTCCCTGAAAGTCAGTCCCCTTCAGTAGCCTTGACTCTTCCCTATTCTTGGGTCCCACATCTCTCTTCCCAGTGCCCTAGCTCAGGCCCAGGGGTGCTGGGCCAAACAGGAAGCCAACTCACTCAACCTGTGGGAGAGGTGTGTGTTTGTGAGATGGGGCAGGAGTCTTTTAACACCTGTGTTCATTGGCCTGAGTGTAATCGTTAGGGTGCAGTCGAGGGTGCCACAGGCCCTGAGAGTGTGTGTGTGTGTGTGTGTGTGTGTGTGTGTGTGTGTGTGTGTAAGTTGGGCCATCTGAGTGCTGTGAGTCCAAGTGATAAATGGTGTGTGCACAAGGCTGTGAGATAGTGAATTTGTGGCTGAGTTTGGGGGAATAGCATGCAAGCCAACCAGATGGACACCACGTCCCTTGTCACACTCTGTATCCAGCCAGGGGTCTACCCGTAGCTGCAATGGGAGCAGACTGTCATCCTGCCACCTCCCCAACAGACTCTATTTTGAGCCATCATTGAAACACTGTGGTCTTGAGGAATAAGATGCATGGAAATCCTGGGTCCACCCAGGGCAGGGACAGTGTCAGTGGGCGTGGGCATCATGCCAGTGTTGCCAACGTGGCGCTGGTGGCTTGGGAGGGACTGGCCCAGAGGCCTGCTGGAAAGACATGGGATTGGGATAGTGCATGGCGAAAGGAGAGTGTTGTGGAAGCTAGACTTTCATGTCCCCTCACTCCTGTGAGCTGGAGATGCCTGCAACACGAAGGCACACCAGTCCCTCCTGTCCCTCGACCACTTGCACCTAGTTTTTGAGTACCTGGGCCCTCAACTTCCTCCCCACCTCCCCAGGAAGCCCTCCACCTTGTATGGGTGGGCTCTCTGGCAGTGGGAAGCAGCTGCTGCTTGATGGGGGGCTCACCTCGGCCAAGTGAGATTCAGGGGAACAGGGAAGGGGAAGAAATTGTTGGGGGCCTAGGTGGGAAAGGAGAATTGGGAAGCTGGGAAAACGAAGAAACTTGGGAGAAGGCTGAGAAAGTTGAGAACTGGAAAATGGGACCTTGACTGCTCCAAACCTAAGGCCAGTCAGCCCTGAGATGTCTAGTGAGCACTTCCGCTGGGAGGCCAGGCTGGGCACTGCACCATGAGCTCCCTGGGAGGAGGGGATCCCCCTCCCCTGCTCCACATCTGGGTGGGAGAGTTGGGACAGCTCCTATCTTGTTCTTTTTCCAAACACTCCCACTTCAATACTTTAATTCTGTTTGTCTTGTTTTGTTTTGTTTTAAGGGTGGTGGGGTGGAGGTCGGGAGGGAACAACTCGAAGGTGGGACTGCTGGGCCCTGGAAAGGGAACACATTTGATCAGGTATGGGGACACATGTTTAGAACTCTTAACCAGTGCTCTTTCCCCAAGTTCTCAGGAGAGAACAATCAGCAAGAGAAGGAAACTGAGGCTGTGGTGAAACTTAGCCACGTGCTCAGCCTGTAGCCCCCAGAGCATTCTGAGTGGGTCTGGTTCCTCGCTCCCCATTCCCTGCCCTCGAGGGCCCTCTGGGCCTCCACTCCCCAGGGCTGGGGTCTCCTGTTGGCCTGGGGCTGGCTGCCTTCTTTCACCCCTCCTTCCCTCCCCACAGCTGGGTGGGGTCCCTGGGCTTGGCTGAGGCCCCTGTGGCCGCAGTGTGAGGGCCGGGCGGGGGACGGCGTCGGCGTTTTTAAAAATAAACCGACCGCAGGGAAACCATCGGAGCCGGGCTGGGCAGAGGGAGAGGGGGCGGTCAGGGGGGAGAAGAAGGGAGGAGTGGCCTGGTCTGGGGGTTTTCTGGGGCCCAGCACCATGGTGGTTTTCTCTTAGGTAGGAAGGCCGCCTTCTTCCTCCTCCTCCCCCTTTTCTTTTTTCCACTCCTTTCTTTTCTTCTCTGCTTTCCTTTGCTTTTCTAGCCCAGTCTCTTTTCCATCATCTCTCCTTCTTAGTTTGTGTCTTTTTACCTTTCTGGTCTTTTAGGTCCCTGCCTATTTCTGCTTCTTTTTTGTTGTTGCTGTTGTTTTTGAGACAGGGTCTTGCTGTGTTGCCCAGGCTGCAGTGCAGTGGCACAATCATAGCTCACTGCAGCCTCTAACTACTTAGCTCAAGTGAGCTTCCCATCTCAGCCTCCTGAGGAGCTAGGACTACAGGCATGCACCACCAAGCCCAGCTAATTTTAAAATCTGTTATAGAAATGGGGTTTCACTATGTTGCCCAGGCTGGTCTCAAACTGCTGGCCTCAAGCAACCCTCCCCCACTTGGCCTCCCAAAGTGCTGGAATTATAGCTATTTCTGCTATTCAATGCCAATTTTTCCTCTCAGGTCCTCCTTCCCCCATTGCTATGGGTCTTTTTTGTCAATCCCTTACCCTATGCAGGTCCTTTGTGCCCCATATCTCTGGGTATCTGCCTCTCTGCTTTGAACTCCATGTTTCTACCTCTTCTTTCTGCTAGGATTTGACTCCTCCCCATCAGCTACCCTGCCATAGCTCACCCGCTGCTTGGAAGATCAGGGGTTCCCGGGAAACCCTGACTGGGGGAACCGTGAGTGTTCACTGTGGTTAGACTGGAGAAAACTTTTGGTGGCTCAGTTTGGGAGTCAACGGGACCTTAGAGAGAGGCAACTGTGCAGGAAGAGCAGCAGGTTTGCACTTGGGGTGTAGCGCAGAAGTGGGGACTGCACACATGCCTCATGGCAACCCCAGGGCCCCAGGCCCACCTCTCGGATTGGCATCGTACACATACTACATGCTAAGAGCTACCAGACAGGTGTGAGAACTCTGGATTCTTGAGTTCTTTTCTCAGCCTTACTGGGAAAGGATCAGGCCCATATGAGTTTATGAAGAACCCAATCCTCAAAACTGTTCTTCTAGCCCTTTCATACCCATATAACTGTATAGGGGTAGATTTTGAGGGCATCTTTTTTGGTGGGATTCCCAGCAATGAATGACCGTCTATGCCAGCCAGGGATGCTATAGGGCATTTCCTCCTTGGATGCCTCACCCAGGGAGAGGCACCATCAGGAACCATGAGTTCCTGAGAGGTAAAGATCTTGAGAGTGGTTTGGCCTGGTAGCAGCAGCATGGTGGGCATTAAGAAGATACCTTTGCCTTTCTTTTTTTTTTTTTTTTTTGAGATGGAGTCTTGCTCTGTAGCCTAGGCTGGAGTGCAGTGGCACCTTCTTGGCTCACTGCAACCTCCACCTCCCAGGTTCAAGCAATTCTCTGCCTCAGCCTCCCGAATAGCTGGGATTACAGGCGCCTGCCACCACACCCAGATAATTTTTTTATATTTTTAGTAGAGATGGGGTTTCACCATCTTGGCCAGGCTGGTTTTGAACTCCTGATCTAGTGATCCACCCACCTTAGCTTCCCAAAGTGCTGGGATTACAGGCGTGAGCCACCGCGCCTGGCTAGAAGATACCCTTGCATTTCTAAAAGACTCCCATATACTACATCCATGTCTTCCTTCATTCACAGTGCTAGAAGGACTACATGTTAGGGGACACTGAGGCATGAAGCAGTGTGGCTGTGGGCCAGTATCTTAGTTACCCCATTCCTTGCCTTGGAAGGGCATGACGACTTTGGGCTCTTACAGCCCTCTCAAAGGGGTACCAGCTGGCACCACAAAGCAGGAGGTGCTCACTGCCTGCTTGAAAGGCATTCTTGTCTCAGCCACAGTTTGGGCTTGGCGGCAGCCCTGTTCCCTCTCAATGTCCCAGTGTCTCCACCATCACTTCCTCTTGCTCTCCAGCCGGAGTCTCTGCCAAGAGATTCCTTAGCAGGGACATGAGGATTGGACCTCAGGGAGACAAGACCACTGCCTTAGTCAGGAGCTGAAGCAGCGACAGGAAATGGAATATCGGGTATGGGATGAAGCTGGGAAAATCTGTCATGGGAGCAAATATAGTCCCCTAATACTTTGACCTTCTCCCTACACTGCACTTTGAGCCTCATCTTTCCTCTCCAAGGCCCTGCCCATGGCCTCGATCTGCTCCAAACCTACTTCCAAGGGTCAGGATCCCCAATTCTCACTTCACCTAGCTGCTGTCTCTATCCCCAGTTCTTCTCACAGCCATTTAAAAAGAGCCCCTGGTGTGTGCCTGTAGTCCTAACTACTCTGGAGGCTGAGGGTGGAGGATCGCTTGGAGCCCAGAAAGAAGTTTGAGGCTACAGTGAGCTGTGATGGTGCTACTGCACTCCATCCAGCTTGGGAGACAGAGTGAGACCCTGTCTCTAAAAATATTTTTTTGGCTGGGTGCGGTGGCTCACACCTGTAATCTCAACACTTTGGGAGGTTGAGGTCAGGAGTTTTGGGTCACTTGAGGTCATCAGTTCAAGACCAGCCTGGCCAACATGGTGAAACTGCGTCTGTACTAAAAATACAAAATAGCTCAATGTGGTGGCGTGCGGCTGTAATCCCAGCTATGTGGGAGGCTGAGGCAGGAGAATTGCTTGAACCTGGGAGGCAAAGTTTGCAGTGAGCCGAGATTGGGCCACTGCATTCCAGCCTGGGTGACAGAACAAGACTTTGTCTCAAAAAATAATTTTTTTTTTAAATAAAAAGAAAAGGCCGGGCGCAGTGGCTCATGCCTGTAATTCCAGCACTTTGGGAGGCCGAGGTGGGCGGATCACCTGAGGTCAGGAGTTTGAGACCAGTCTGGTCAACATGGCAAAACCCTGTTTCTACTAAAAATACAAAAAAATTAGCCAGGTGTGGTGGTGGGTGCCTGTAATCCCAACTCCTCCGGAGGCTGAGGCAGGGGAATCTCTTGAACCCGGGAGGCGGAGGTTGCAGTGAGCCGAGGTCACACCATTGCACTCCAACCTGGGCGACAACAGCGAGACTCCATCTCAAAAAAAAAGAAAAAGAACCTCCTGTTCCTTGGAGGCCCCTAGTACACCCCTAGCAACTCCAGAATGAGCTCTGCTTCCTGCCTTCTGGGTTGGGATACTGAGCTGCAGTCTTGGGCCTCTGTTCTTCTTCCCACGACTCCATGAGTCTGCCCTGAGGTCCAGCCCTCACTGGCTAACCTCTTTTACCTGTAATTCTCCACCCTCTTCAACTCTTCCCTGACCCCTCTGTTCTGTTGTGGATGTCTCTAGGTCTCAGTCCTAAAGTGTTGCCCTTCATTTTGTACCTCTCCTCCCCTCTCCCTAAGCAGTGCGTCCCTCTTTCCACAGGAGGAAGTTCACTATGGCTCCAGTCCCCTGGCCATGCTGACGGCAGCGTGCAGCAAATTTGGTGGCTCTAGCCCTCTGCGGGACTCAACAACTCTGGGCAAAGCAGGCACAAAGAAGCCGTACTCTGTGGGCAGTGACCTTTCAGCCTCCAAAACCATGGGGGATGCTTATCCAGCCCCCTTTACAAGCACTAATGGGCTCCTTTCACCTGCAGGCAGTCCTCCAGCACCCACCTCAGGCTATGCTAATGATTACCCTCCCTTTTCCCACTCATTCCCTGGGCCCACAGGCACCCAGGACCCTGGGCTACTAGTGCCCAAGGGGCACAGCTCTTCTGACTGTCTGCCCAGTGTCTACACCTCTCTGGACATGACACACCCCTATGGCTCCTGGTACAAGGCAGGCATCCATGCAGGCATTTCACCAGGCCCAGGCAACACTCCTACTCCATGGTGGGATATGCACCCTGGAGGCAACTGGCTAGGTGGTGGGCAGGGCCAGGGTGATGGGCTGCAAGGGACACTGCCCACAGGTCCAGCTCAGCCTCCACTGAACCCCCAGCTGCCCACCTACCCATCTGACTTTGCTCCCCTTAATCCAGCCCCCTACCCAGCTCCCCACCTCTTGCAACCAGGGCCCCAGCATGTCTTGCCCCAAGATGTCTATAAACCCAAGGCAGTGGGAAATAGTGGGCAGCTAGAAGGGAGTGGTGGAGCCAAACCCCCACGGGGTGCAAGCACTGGGGGTAGTGGTGGATATGGGGGCAGTGGGGCAGGGCGCTCCTCCTGCGACTGCCCTAATTGCCAGGAGCTAGAGCGGCTGGGAGCAGCAGCGGCTGGGCTGCGGAAGAAGCCCATCCACAGCTGCCACATCCCTGGCTGCGGCAAGGTGTATGGCAAGGCTTCGCACCTGAAGGCCCACTTGCGCTGGCACACAGGCGAGAGGCCCTTCGTCTGCAACTGGCTCTTCTGCGGCAAGAGGTTCACTCGTTCGGATGAGCTGGAGCGTCATGTGCGCACTCACACCCGGGAGAAGAAGTTCACCTGCCTGCTCTGCTCCAAGCGCTTTACCCGAAGCGACCACCTGAGCAAACACCAGCGCACCCATGGAGAACCAGGCCCGGGTCCCCCTCCCAGTGGCCCCAAGGAGCTGGGGGAGGGCCGCAGCACGGGGGAAGAGGAGGCCAGTCAGACGCCCCGACCTTCTGCCTCGCCAGCAACCCCAGAGAAAGCCCCTGGAGGCAGCCCTGAGCAGAGCAACTTGCTGGAGATCTGAGCCGGGTGGAAGGTCTCCCACCCCAGGGCTGCCCTGACAGTCTCTCTTGGCTCTCTAGACCACTGCTTGCCAATCACTCTCTTTACCCCATGCATGCCATCCTTCGGGGCTCTCTCCCTCTGTCTCCCTCCTGGCCATTCTGGGCTTGGGTATCTCCTTGCATGCCTCCTCAGCTCACCTTCTCTCTTCACCATGAGACTGGCTTTCCACAAACTCTCATCTCAGGCCCTCCCCTTGTGCCTGATACCTGCACTCCGGCTTCCTAGACTCTGGCCCTGCCACACCAACACACTTTCTATTTGGGCTCCCAACACTATTTCTCCATCTCACTCCTTGACATGTACCCCTTTCTGCTTCTCAAGCTTATTTCCTGCTGTCCCTCAGCCTCCAGGCTTCAGTCTTCCCAACTTCTTACACCATTGCTTTCCATTCTCCAGAACTCTTTTTTCCTTTTTACAAACACAATGATAATGATAATTTATTGCCCCCTGGTGGCCTCTTCATCAGGGGTATTGGGGTTAGTGACCTGGCCAGAGGGTGCCAAGAGGGGGGCAGACCAGTGGGGATCTGATCCCAAAGATGGGGTGACCCCAGGGTCAGGGAGGCTGCCCCCAGGCCTGTATATTTAACCCCTATGTACCAGGAGTAATGAATAGTAATAATTCTATTTATGTAAGTTATGATGACGGGTCAGGTAGAGTGAGCTGGGGAGGGAAGTGGATCCATTTCTGCTAAGGAAATTCTAGTCAAATGCATCTCTGTATAGACAAAATGTTAGTGGAGAAGATCTTGTTAATAGAATGTCTATCATCAGAATCTCAGTTGATAGGGTTTCTCTTGTAATGAAGTCTCTACAAATTGGGTTAGCTACATCTCTGCTAAACAGTTGATGGGGTATCTCTTGATTAGGGGGATCCCTAATATCCCCAGCCCCAGCCAGAAGCTGTGAAACCTCAAGTCCTATGGAGGGGAGAAGGACTGGAATGTACCCCATCTCCCTTGACTGCAGAGCAGGTTCCTCCACTGCCCCACCCCTTAGACACCATGACCCCATCAGGTTAATCCCCTGTTGCCATGGTTATGGAGAGCTTGCAGCTGCCATCTTAGATGTGCTCTTTGGGGAAGCCCATCTAACAGGAGGACATTGGTTTGGGGGTGCACCTCCTGAAGAATGGGTGGGGAAGGCTTTCTCTAGGATCAGATTCAAATAAGTATGTATTGAGTGCCTACTCTGTGCAAGGCACTATGCTAGATCTGGTGCCTAGAAGCCCTGAGAAAGAACTTAAAGAGCTAGGAGGACAGAGGCCCCCAAGCTGATCTGGTGGTGCATCCACGCACCCCCACCCTGGGACTTTGGATGCTCCCATCTCCACCTCCAGTGACTTTTAAAGCCGCTTCGTGCCTTTCCTGTAACGTTGGATCCTCCTTTTCTGTCCCCTGCTGTCTCAAGGCCCCAAGTTAAAGGGTTAAAGCCGCTGGAGCTTGGGGAGAGAACATTGTGGAATGGAAGGGATCATGCCCTTTGTGGAGTCTTTTTTTTTTAATTTAATAAATAAAAGTTGGATTTGAAATTTTGTCCTGGTGAGAAAAGGAGAAGAGGAAGGGTGAAGCGAGGGCCAATGGTTTTTTTTCCTTAGCAAATTGGGGACTACTCATGGGCGAATATTCTATTGTGCACGTTTGCTCACCTATGCTCGCGGTAAAATAGTTTATCGGCCGGGCGTGGTGGCTCACACATGTAATCCCAGCACTTCGGGAAGCCCAGAAGGGCGGATCACCTGAGGTCAGGAGTTCGAGACCATCCTCGCTAACATGATGAAACCCTGTCTGTACTAAAAAATACAAAAATCAGCCGGGCGTGATGGCAGGTGCCTGTAATCCCAGCTGCTTGGGAGGCTGAGGCAGAAGAATCGTGGAACCTGGGAGGTGGAGGTTGCAGTGAGCTGAGATCGCGCCACTGCACTCCAGCGTGGGCTGCAGAGCGAGACTCCGTCTCAAAACAAAACACAAAACAAAATTGTTTCTCGGTCAAATCCTCCAGCGGTGTTCAGTTTTTGGGCGTGCAGTGCTTTCTGCAGAGTTGGGAAGACTCACTGGTTTCTACCCTGGCCCTTTCTGGACTGCACCAACTGACCCTGGTCAGGGCAGTGACGCGACCCGAGCGCGGGCACCGCGGTTGCAGTGCGGACTCCTGCGCGGCCCCAGTCGGGCGGTGGTGCGGCTCCCGGCGGGCAGACTGGGCCTGGCACGTAACCCGCCCCCTGCCCTGGGTCTGCAATCAGTCGTGCCCGCCACGGAGTTAGCCGAAGAACAAAAACCACTCTGTGGCAGCATCCCCGAGCCACAATAGGGCTTTGTGCGGCCCCCGCCCCCCAAGGTTACCCCGCTGGGCTGAGGGGGCTCACAGGCCGCTCCCCCCGGCCTGGGCCCGACTCCCAGCTGCGCCCCGCGTCGGACTGTCCACCGCACGGGTCGCAAGAGGGGCTGCTACGGGTGGGAGGGGGCCGGCGATCCTGGGGGGGCTCGGGTTACGAGCCCCCTCCCCACCCTGACGCCACTCCCGCCCCCGCCCAGGTGCGAAATCTCCTGCCCTCCGGCTGGGCGCGCGACTTCAAAGGCGCTTTGAAGAAATCCGAGTTCCGAAGACTTCTTTAGTGGGCTGGGGGCTGTGACGGAAGAGACCCGGGAGAGGGGGCTGGGGCAGAGGAAAGGCGGGGGGCGCCTTGGAGCTGGTCTGAGCGAGGCGGCGGCCTGGAGTGGAACCCCGGGATCCCGCCTCAACCCCGCCGGGCGGGCTCCTCCGGACCCCCCAGAGTCTGGCCCTCTCGCCTCCCGGTCTCCGCCTGTCCGGTGCCAGCTCCCGCCCGCCGCAGCCTCGCGGTCCTCCCCTCCCCAACCCTTCGGCCCCTTTCATCTTCCCTAGACTCCGCTTGGGGTTTTGCTGGTTTCTGGGAGATAAAAACCGCTTCAAATAGCGGCGGCGCGCTGCCAGGACAAACAGGGCCGGGCGGGCCATGTGCGCCTGGTTACCGGCCCCGGGTCGGGACGCCGGGCTCCAGCGGGCCCGGGAAGGGGTAGCGGGCGGAGCTCCGGGCACCCAGGCTCCGGTGACGACTCCCAAAGTAGGGGGCCCCTTTTAGAAGCGGCCTGCGCGCTCTCTCGGTTCCCGCCCAGGTCGTAGGGAGGGGCCGGCGGAGACCGCCCGCTAAGCGCTCGGAGCCCATAGGGCGTGGGTCACGGTCGCTGCGTTGCCTGGCCAGCCGCGCCCCCTGGTGAAGTTACTGGGTGAGCGCGCCGGGCCTGGACTTGGGCCTTTCTAGAACCCGCAAATGGTGAAAAGCGTTCCACAAACGTTAAATAAGCAGTATGGAGGAGGGGACAGTACTTGTGCCAGGCCAGGGCGGGGGCAGCGGGCGGAACAGCACTGTTCCTTCTCTCCAGTTCACCTTACAGGGTAAGAAGCAGGCACCTAACCGATCATTATAACCTGATGGTGAAAATCGAGGTTTCATCGAAGGATGCAAGTTGCAGGCCGGAGTGATTTTTCCTAGGGGTATCTGGGTTTGGATGGTGTTACGACTAAGGTACAAACGGAAACTATCGTGGGTCCTCAGTGCTCTCCACTAATCTGTCAGTCACCGACTTCCTCTCCCTCAAACCTGCCCACTTCCCCTTCTCAGGGAGGCTTTCCCAGCCAGGTTCCCCAAACCATCCCCAGTGTATACCTTATGTTCTTCAAGCTTTCTGTGACTTCCCAGGTGACGGTGAACTCACATAGGAAATTAAATGGGGCTATGGGAAAAGGTTAGAGCAGGGGTCGCGCCACGGCCCGTCGTGTCGGTGGCCTGTAAAGGAACCGCACAGCCGGAGACGAGCTGAGCAAGCTGAGCTCCGCCTCCTGTCAGATCAGCGGCATTAGATTCTCATAGTAGCGCGAACTCTGTTGTGAACTGCGCACGTGAAGGACCTAGGTTGCCCGCTTTTTATGAGAATCCAACTAATGCCTGATGATCTCAGGTGTAACAGTTTCATCCCCAAACCATTCCCTCCCCCGCTCCCCCTGGAAAAACTGTCTTCCACTAAACCTGGTGCCAAAAAGTTGGGGACCGCTAGGTTAGAGCCTTGCTACTTAAAATGTGGTCTGTGCAGTATCAGCTGGGGATTCTTTGGAACTATAGCCTCTGAGCGCCACCTTAGGAGATGCTCAGGTGATTCCTATGTCCCTTAACAGTTGAGAAGTACTAGATTAGAGGAGATCCACTTGCCTTCTCAGGTGAAGTGCATTTTCAGGAGACTCTGGAGCCCTTTGTTTTCTGACCTGGTAATAACTCTCTTGGGGGGAATTTTTCAGGTGAAAAAGAAGGGCAGACACGGAATCCAGAATACTAGAACTAAATGCCCCCTAGATTATTCAATGAGACTGGTAGCTCTTGGGAGTGGGGACAGCCTTCTACATCTTCAAATCACTTAACATTTGTTAATGAACTCTGACCAAGGTCACCTAGTTGATGGCACAGTTATAGCTATTAACCTCTGACATTTGTTTAGCACTTTAAAATTTATTAAATAGCTTCATTTTATTATTTTGTATGGAAAACAACCATATGAAATAATTAGGACACTGCAAATGAGAAAAGTGAGACTCAAAGAATTCAATGTTTTTTCCAAAGTCTGTAAGAGGGGCCCCCATTCTCTTTCTTTCTTTCCTTTCTTTCTCCCTCTCCCTTCCCTCCCATTTTTTTTTGTTTTGTTTTGTTTTTTGTTTTTTTTTTTTTTTGAGACGGAGTTTCGCTCTTGTTGCCCAGGTTGGATGGAGTGCAGTGGCGCGATCTCTGCTCACTGCAACCTCCGCCTTCCAGGTTCAAGGGATTCTCCTGCCTCAGCCTCCCGAGTAGCTGGGATTACAGGCATGCACCACAATGCCTGGCTGGTTTTGTATTTTTTAGTAGAGATGGGGTTTCTCCATGTTGGTCAGGCTGGTCTCGAAATCCCGACCTCAGGGGATCAGCCCACCTCAGCTTCCCAAAGTGCTGGGATTACAGGCGTGAGCCACCGCGCCCGGCTCTTTCTCTCTGGCTTGCTTGACAGGGTCTCGCTCTTTGACCCAGGCTGGAGTGCAGTGGTGCTATCTTGGATCATTGTAGTCTGGATTCTCCTATCTCAGCCTTCTGAGTAGCTGGACTAAAGACGCTTGCCACCACCACGCTGGCTAACTTTTGAATTTTTTGTAGATACAGGGTCTTGCTATTTTGCCCAAGCTGGTCTTGAACTCCTGGGCTCAAGAGATCAGCCTCGGCCTCCCAAAGTGCTGGGATTACAGGTGTGAGCTACCACACCCAGCCTTACTTTTATTCTTAAGTGAGAATAACTGGTTTGGGTGTATCTAGGTCCAATCTCTCTGTGACTCACTTTCCTCATGGTGACAGAACAGCACCCACCTTATGGGGTTGTAAAGATTATAAAAGCACTTATCGTAACAAGTGCTCAGGAAATAGTTTTGCAGCCCGGCAAGGTGGCTCAGGCCTGTAATCCCAGCAATTTGGGAGGCCAAAGCAGGCAGATCACTTGAGGTCAGGAGTTTGAGACCAGCCTGGCCAACATGGTAAAACCTCGTCTCTACTAAAAATACAAACTTAGCTGGGCGTGGTGAAGCATGCCTGTAATCCCAGCTACTCCAGAGGTTGAGGCAGGATAATCGCTTGAACCGGGGAGGCAGAGGTTGCAGTGAGCTGAGATAGCACCACTGCCTTCATCCTGGGCAATAGAGCGAGACCCTGTCTCTCAAAAAAATAAAATAAAATAAAGTTTTCCTTTTTGAGACGAAGTTTCCCTCTTGTTACCCAGGCTGGAGTGCAATGGTGCGATCTTGGCTCACTGCAACCTCCCCCTCCGGAGTTCAAGAGATTCTCCTGCCTCAGCCTCCCGATTAGCTGGGATTACAGGTGCCCGCCACCACGCCCGACTAATTTTTGTATTTTTAGTATAGATGGGGTTTTCAGCATGTTGGCCAGGCTAGTCTGCGAACTCCTTTCAGATGATCCACCCACCTCGACCTCCCAAAGTGCTGGGATTACAGGCGTGAGCCACCGCGCCTGGCAGGAAATGTTAGTTTTCCAACCGTCCCCACCTCCCTTTCCAGGACGCCTAACCGTGTGGGTGCAGCACTGTTCCTCCTCTCTGAGGCTTTTCCCTCAGCTTTCCAGCCAGCTGCCTGTGACATAGCCTGTATTTTCCTCTGGGTGATCCACAGGCCTGGGAGGATTAATTTGGTACTTCCCTGAATGTGGCTTATTTCGGGCTTTCTAAGCGCTAAGATAGTGAGTGGGAGAAGGTGTTCGGGAATTCGGAGCTGGGAAAAACAGTAGTCTCATGGAAAACAACAGAAAAAAACCCCACTCCAGCCTGGTAACCAACGGTTGGCCGGGGGACGTGTCCGCGCTGCTCCCCCTCCGGCCGCCAGGGGGCGCAGGAAGAAGCTTTGGAGGTCTGTCCCGGGACCGCGTACTCGTCCTTCTTTCCCGTTAGTCTTTTCTTCACTTCCGTTGAGTTCCGCCTCGCCGTTTGTCCCTTGCGGTACCCGTCCGCATACGAATCTAGCCCGGGAACCGAGTTGCGGGAGTGCGGTCTGTGCCGTTCCGGCCAGGAGTTTGCCGACTGCAGACGTCCTGCGAACCGGCAAGATGTGCTCTCTGGGGTTGTTCCCTCCTCCACCGCCTCGGGGTCAAGTCACCCTATATGAGCACAATAACGAGCTGGTGACGGGCAGTAGCTATGAGAGCCCGCCCCCCGACTTCCGGGGCCAGGTGGCCAGGGCGAGGAGGGAGGGGACCTACAGGCATGGGGGCGGAGTCGGGGACTACTGGGGAAAGGAGGCAGTGTGACAGGGGCAGGGTCACAGAGTCTGGCGGAGTGGAAACAGCTTGGCCCCGGCAGGAGGCTAGAAGGGCTGGAATCTGTTTTAGGACTGGGATTGGAGTATAACGGGGGAACGGTTAAGGAGCTGTGGAGGAGGCCTAGAGGGAATGGAGAGAATGAGGGAGAATCTAGGGAGTGTGAGGATGCGGGAGAACTATCTAAAAGTTGGGGACAGTATCTGGGGAGGATCAGAAGGATACAACATGGAACTTTTTTCCATGGTGTTCCTGGGAAGGACAAGGAAGGGAAACTGACATTTATTGAGCGTTTGCTATGTAAGAAAGAGGCTGAGTCAGGTGTTTTCTAAAAATGTCATATGGTTTCATAATCACAGCAACCCTATGAAATATTATTCTAGTTGCACAGATACGGGAGCTAAGACTTGTTTCCCATTCTCACAAGTGTTAGCTTTGTGGAAATGGGAAACAGACCTCTGGAATCTCTTATACTTAGCCCAGCGGTGGGTTGGAGATGGCACGGAATTAAAGATTTGGGAAGAGACTGAATCACCGTCACACTCCTCACTTTTGTGCTATAGTGGATCAATCTTCCTGTCCTACAACTGACAAAGGATCCCCTAAAGACCCCTGGAAGGCTGGACCATGGCACAAGAACTGCCTTCATCCATCACCGGGAGCAAGTGTGGAAGAGATGCATCAACATTTGGTGAGGCATGGCAAAGGGTTTCCTGGGTCACAGTCTGCAGATCCTGGAAAATGAGTCAACACCCCTTTACCTTGGGGTGTTCTTCAAAAGACTTTTATTCAGGCTGTCTCCACGAGAGCTGTATATCCTAAATCATATGAAATTTTTAGTCCTTATTATAGAACTCAAATGCTCAATAAATGTCAGGTTCCCTTCCTTGCCCTTCCCAGGAACACTATGGAAAAAGTACTTCCATTTCATCTCTAGTAACTTGCCTTGCTTTCTGGCTTGATTAGGTGAACCTGCTCCCTGCCCCCACCTCATGGCATTACCACTTCTGAGCTTTTACCTGAAGCTCAGCAAGATCAGATATAAGGTTGCACTGAATAATCTCCTACATAGGTCATCCACTTTGCACTTGTAGGAGTGGAGCTACACTACCTGGTTTCATTTTCTTTTTTTTTTTTGAGATGGAGTTTCACTCTTGTTGCCCAGGCTGGAGTGCAGTGGCGTGCTCAGCTCACTGCAACTTCCACCTCCCAGGTTCAAGCGATTCTTCTGCCTCAGTCTCCCGAGTAGCTAGGATTACAGGCATGTGCCACCACGCCCAGCTAATTTTGTATTTTTAGTAGAGACAGGGTTTCTCCATGTTGGTCAGGCTGGTCTTGAACTTCCGACCTCAGATGATGTGCCCGCCTTGGCCTCCCAAAGTGCTGGGATTACAGGCGTGAGCCACCGCGCCCGGCTCATTTTCTTTTTCTTTTTTTTTTTTTTTTTTTTTTTGAGACGGAGTCTTGCTGTGTTGCCAGGCTGGAGTGCAGAGGTGCGATCTCGGCTCACTGCAGCCTCCGCCTCTCTGGTTCAAGCAGTTCCCCTGCCTCAGCCTCCCGAGTAGCTGGTACTATAGGCATGTGCCACCACGCCCAGCTAACTTTTTGTATTTTAGTAGAGATGAGATTTCACCATGTTGGCCAGGGTGGTCTGGCCTCCTGACCTCAGGCCTGCCTTGGCCTCCCAAAGTGCTGAGATTACAGCTACTGCACCTGGACCTATTAATGGCACATATTAATTCCTTTAAGGGTTATTTATGCCAGGCACAGTGACTCACGCCTATAATCCCAGCGCTTTGGTAGGCTGAGGCCAGCAGATTGCTTGAGCTTAGTAGTTTGAGACTAGCCTGGGGAACATGGCGAAACCATGTTCTTTTCTCTACAAGAAAAGTACAAAAATTAGCTGGGTATGGTGGCATGCACCTTTATTCCCAGCTACTTGGGAGGCTTATGTATAGGAGGATCACTTGAGCCTGGGAGGTGGAGGTTGTAGTGAGCCAAGATTGTGCCAGTGCAGTGGCACTGAGTGAGACCTTGTCTCAAAAAAAAAAAAAGGGTTACTTAATATTTTTATTAATACCATTACCATTTGTAGGATAAATTCCTAGAAATTAAGTTGCTGGCTCAGAGGGTATGTTCATCTGTAATTTTGTGAGCTGTTCCAAATAGCCCTCTGTCAAAATGGTACATGTATATGGTCCCACCAGCAGTGTATGGGAGTGCCTGTTTTCCAACACATGTGCTGTCAAGCTTTGATCTTTGGTACTTCAGTACAGTTTAATGGGCATGCCTGTGTGTGTGAAGTTGAATATCAGTTTGTTGAAAAGCCATTCATTCCCAGGCTCCTTGTCTCCTACTTCTGTGGCTGCTGCTTCTCAGGGTTTTTGGTGGCTCCTCTTCCTGATGTCCCTTAAATGTTGGTGTTCTTGGGGCTAGATTTCCAGTTGATGCATCAGACCTGGTGTTCACGTGTTTGCCAAATTATCCTGCTTGAATATTTCGCAGACTTCATATATTCAGCATGCTCAAATCCAGTCTCTTTATTTCTCTCTCCAAATCTGCTTCTCTGGATGGTTCACTTTAAGGAATGATCATATTACTCATTCAGGAAAAAGTGGTTTGAGTATAGGTTCTGGGGTAGATAGATGGTTGAATCCTGACTGCTACTTTCTACTTAGATTACCTTGTTCATATTAATTAGCCTCTTCACACCTTTGTTCTCTCATCTAAAAATGCAGTGATAGTCTGGGCGCGGAAGCTCATGCCTGTAATCCCAGCACTTTGGGAGGCCAAGGCGGGTGTATCACTTGAGGTCAGGAGTTCGAGACCAGCCTGGCCAATGTGGTGAAACTCCGTGTGTAATCCTAATTACTCAGGAGGCTGAGGTGCAAGAATTGCTTGCACCCAGGAGGTAGAGGTTGCAGTGAGCCGAGTTCACACCACTGCACTCCAGCCTGGGTGACAGAGTGAGACTCCGTCTTAACACACACACACACACACACACACACACGCACACACACACACACACACACTGAAACCCCATCTCTACAAAAAATTTAAAAATTAGCTGGGCATGATGGTGTGCACCCGTAGTCTCAGCTCCTCGGGAGGCCGAGGCAAGAATACCTGAGCTCAGGAGATTGAGGCTGCAGCGAGCCGTGATGGTGATATTGCACTCCAGCCTGGGTCACAGAGCAAGACCCTGTCTCAATAAAATAAAAATAAATGCAGTGATAACAATACCTATCTTGTAGGATTGTCATAATGGCTTGATTAGTTAATGTGAGGCACCTAGTCCAGAGCTGGCACATTGTAAGCATATTAGCTGATGTAATTATTACCTAGGTGTTTCTGTTGTATTGCTCTTTCCTTTACTAATGTCTGATTAGTCTTCACATCTTGTTTATGCTAATTCCTAAATCTCTCAAATCTGTCTCTTTTTCTTCATCCCCACCAGTTCAGGCCACTTTCACCTTTTTCCTAGGTTCCTGAAGTAGATTCTTTTTTTTTTTTTGAGACAGAGTCTCACTTTGTCACCCAGGCTGGAGTGCAGTGGCGTGATCTCAGCTCGCTGCAACCTCCGCCTCCTGGGTTCAAGCAATTCTTCTGCCTCAGCCTCTGAGTAGCTGGGACTACAGGTGCACACCACCACGCCTGGTTAATTTTTGTTTTGTTTTATTTTTTTGGTTTTTTTTTTTTGAGACGGAGTCTCGCTCTGTTGCCCAGGCTGGAGTGCAGTGGCACGATCTCGGCTCACTGCAAGCTTCGCCTCCCGAGTTCACTCCATTCTCGTGCCTCAGCCTCCCGAGTAGCTGGGACTACAGGCGCCCACCACCACACCTGGCTAATTTTTTGTATTTTTAGTAGAGATGGGGTTTCACCGTGTTAGCCAGGATGGTCTTGATCTCTTGACCTTGTGATCCGCCCGCCTCAGCCTCCCAAAGTGCTGGGATTACAGGTGTGAGCCACCGCACCTGGCCAATTTTTGTATTTTTAATAGAGATGAGGTTTCACCATCTTGACCAGGCTGGTCTCGAACTCCTGACCTCGTGATCCACCTGCCTTGGCCTCCCAGCGTGCTGGGATTACAGGTGTGAGCCACCGCACCCGGCCCTGAAGTAGATTCTTAACTGATTTATTTTTCTCTATTATTATTATTATTTTTTGAGACAGCATCTTGCTCTGTTGCCCAGTGTGGAGTGCAGTGGCGCAAACATGGAACACGGCTCACTGCATTGTCAGCCCCCAGGGCTCAAGTGATGCTCCTTCCTCAGCCTCCCAAGTAGCTGGGACTACAGGCATGTGCCACCACACCTGCCTAAGTTTTGTATTTTTTTTTGTAGAGACAGCATTTCCCTATGTTGCCTAGGCTGGTCTCAAGCTCTTGAGCTCAGGCGATCCACCTGCCTTGGCCTCCCAAAGTGCTAGGGTTGAGCCACTGCACCTGGACTTTTTCTATTTTTTCTCTTCTTTTTTTTTTTTTTTTTTTTTGTCTGAGATGGAGTCTTGCTCTGTTGCCCAGGCTGGAGTGTGGTGGCACGATGTTGGCTCACTGCAATCGCCACCTCCCGGGTTCAGGCGATTCTCCTGCCTCAGCCTATGGAGTAGCTGGGATTATAGGCATGGACCACCACACCTGGCTAATTTTCATATTTTTCAACATGTTTCACCATGTTGGCCAGGATGGTCTTGATCTCCTGACCTCGTGATCCGCCCACCTTGGCCTCCCAAAGTGCTGTGATTACAGGTGTGAGCCACCGCGCCTGGCCTTTTCTATTCTTTTTTTTTTTTCTTCTTTTTTGAGGCAGAGTCTCACTCTGTCGCCCAGGCTGGAGTGCAGTGGCACAATCTCGGCTTACTGCAGCCTCCGCTTCCTGGGTTCAAGTGATTCTCCTGCCCTGCCTCAGCCTCCTGAGTAGCTGGGACTACAGGTACGCACCACCACACCTGGCTAATTTCTGCATTTTTAGTAGAGACGGGGTTTTACCATGTTGGCCAGGATGGTCTCAGTTTCCTGACCTCGTGATCCACCCACCTCAGCCTCCCAAAGTGCTGGGATTATAGGCGTGAGCCACCACAGCCAGCCTGGCCTTTTCTATTCTTATCACTCTCTAATCTGCAGCCAGACTGCTCTTTCTAAAATGCTGCTGTGTGATCTGTTTATTCTTCTCCTTAGAACCCTTCCATGGCTTTCCATTCATTGTCTTAGAGCAAGTCCCAACTCCTTAACCTGCTCACAAAGCCCCAAAAGTCCTCTGAGCCTTGGTTGTCTCATCCGTAAATGGGTAGAATCTCGTTCAGATTTGTGAGATATGTAAATGAAAGGACAGCCCGTAGAGTGCCTGGTACATAGTTGGCACTCATTAAATGTGAGTGCCCATATTTTTAATACATGTATATTGAATGAATGAAACTGGTAGAGAGGGACAGAGGGGATCAGAGTAAGCTGACCCACATTTTCCTCCCTTATCAGGCGTGATGTGGGCCTTTTTGGGGTGCTAAATGAAATTGCAAACTCAGAAGAAGAGGGTAAGTATTTTTCCCTCCAGCCTTCCCTAGTTTTGTGGTTATCTCCTCTCCATATTCTTGAACTCACCCCCGACACCTGTTGGCTCAGCCTCTTTTAGCCCTATTTTTCCTGTCCTCTCCTCTACCTACCCAAATAACCCAGAGTGGGTGTCCAGAGTGGGTGTCCAGAGTGTGGTGTTGAGAGCACTTACTGGGCAGAAGGACCTGGGGAGTGCCTGTCCTTCCTTGTCTTTCACCTAGAAGGTACCTGGTAAGAGGCCTGTGAATGGTTTAATCAGAGCTGCTTCCTCAACCCTACAGTGTTTGAGTGGGTGAAGACGGCATCCGGCTGGGCCCTGGCACTCTGTCGATGGGCCTCTTCCCTCCATGGGTCCCTGTTCCCCCATCTGTCTGTAAGTTTGGCTTCCTCCCCAGCCCTCTGCATTTGCTGTGTCCCCATCCTACTCTGCCCTCATTCCTATCCTTGCAGGTCAGGGTTGGGTGTGATGACTTCAGAGGGTAGGAGTGGTCCAGCTCCCCTGTTGGAATATTGAGGAGATGGACTCCTTTTGCCCCAGTGTGTCCTGTGTCTATCTTGTTCTTACAGCTCAGGAGCGAAGATCTGATCGCTGAATTTGCCCAAGTCACAAATTGGTGAGTGCACAAGCCCTGGAGCTTTGTGGAAAGGAAGTCCTGAACCTCAAAACTCCCTTTGGGGAGAAGGCAAAGACTCCTACTCCTTTTCTGATTGCTCACCATATTCTCATTCCTCCTGTTCCCCCAAAAAAGAATACAAGAAAAAGTAGGAAAAAACCATGTCCTTACTGGAAATGAATGTGAGCTTCTGGGCTAGGGTAGGGATAGGTGCAGGAACTCTTCATGTTAACCCCTTCCTTAGGTCCAGCTGCTGCTTGCGTGTCTTTGCATGGCACCCCCACACCAACAAGTTTGCAGTGGCCCTGCTAGATGACTCAGTCCGTGTGTATAATGCCAGCAGGTGTGTGTGGGGACACCAGGTGGGCTCTGACTTGTCAATATCACCTTCCCTTGCCAGCCTTGGTTCCGGGGAGTCCTGTAGTTCTTGAACCTGATTCATGGGGCTCCTTCCAGAACTGGGGTCAGGGAAGCTCCATAACTGGATGCGTGCTTCTTCTAGACCTAACCTTTATCCCCTCCTGTCCTATGGTGCCCCTGGCCCCTGGATGGATCATCCTTCTTCTCTGTGGCTTTCCCTCCTTAACTGCACTCTGGTCCCTGGAGCCTTAGTGTTCCTGCCTTGACTCAGTTTCCTGCCCCTTCACCCTAGCACCATAGTCCCCTCCCTGAAGCACCGGCTGCAGCGAAATGTGGCGTCTCTGGCCTGGAAGCCCCTTAGTGCCTCTGTCTTGGCTGTGGCCTGCCAGAGCTGCATTCTTATCTGGACCCTGGACCCTACCTCCTTGTCTACCCGGTAAGTCCTAGTAGCCTGCCTTACCTTGGCCTGAGAGTTGTGCAATGCTAGGCATGGTGGGTGGTGAGGACGTCTGAAAGGAGAAGTTCTTTGTCCTCACAGCACTTCCCAGGGCTATGGGAAAAGCAGAAGTAAGATCAAGGTGGGTTGCTGAGAATACTCTAATCTGGAGAAAGAGAACTAGGGGCTTTTTGGATTGTGGGGACAATGTGTCTGTGGGTTACGGGGTGGAAAGACTCTTTCAGAGGACTATACACTTCCTTTACACTTAAAGGAAGTGTAAAGAAAATTAGTACTAATAAGATCAGAAACTAATAAAATTAGAAAAAGAATACCTGTGAAAACTAACTAAAAATAAAACCAGAAACTGGTTCTTTAAATTATGACTAAGCTGGGTGCGGTGGCTCATGCCTGTAATTCCAACACTTTGGGATGTGGAGGCGGTTGGATCACCTGAGGTCAGGAGTTCGAGACCAGCCTGGCCAACATAGCAAAACCTTGTCTCTACTAAAAATATGAAAATTAGCTGGGCATGGTGGTACACACCTGTAGTCCCAGCTACTCGGGAAGCTGAGGCAGGAGAATCGCTTGAATCTGGGAGGCGGAGGTTGCAGTGAGCCAAGATCATGCCACTGTACTCCAGCCTGGGCAACAGAGCGAGACTCTGTCTCAAAAAAAAAAAAAAATTATGAATAAAGGCTGGGAACAGTGGCTCACACCTGTAATCCCAGCATTTTGGGAGGCCAAGGCGTGAGGATCACCTGAGGTCAGGAGTTTGAGACCAGCCTGGCCAACATGGTAAAACCCGTCTCTGCTAAAAATACAAAAATTAGGCCAGGCGCAGTGGCTCATGCCTGTAATCTCAGCACTTTGGGAGACCAAGGTGGGTGGATTTCTTGAGGCCAGGAGTTCGAAACCAGCCTGGCCAACATGGCGAAACCCCATCTCTACTAAAAATACAAAAAAATTAGCTGGACGTGGTGGTGCGTGCCTGTGATCCCAGCTACTTGGGAGGCTGAGACACAAGAATCACTTGAACCCGGGAAGCGGAGGTTGCAGTGAGTTGACATCATGCCACTACAGCTGTACTCTGGTCTGGGCAACAGAGTGAGACCCTGTCTCAAAAAAAAAAAAAAAAAAAAGGCCAGGCGCGGTGGCTCACGCCTGTAATCCCAGCACTTTGGGAGGCTGAGGCGGGTGGATCATGAGGTCAGGAGATAGAGACCATCCTGGCTAACACGGTGAAACCCCATCTTTACTAAAAATACAAAAAATCAGCTGGGCGTGGTGGTGCTCGCCTGTAGTCTCAGCTACTTGGCAGGCTGAGGCAGGAGAGTCACTTGAACCTGGGAGGCGGAGGTTGCAGTGAACTGAGATCACGCCACTGTACTCCAGCCTGGGCAACAAAGCAAGACTCTGTCTCAAAAAAAAAAAATATATATATATATACACACACACACACATATATGTTTTATATATATACACATATATATACACGTATATATATATATACGTGTATGTATACGTGTATATACGTATATATATGAATAAAGAAGAAAACCTCTTGGTTAGCCTAATTAAGGAGAAAAAGAAAACCAAAGTATACTATTTTCAGAAGTGGAAAGATATAGATACGGGAGAAAATAGAAGAATTATAAAAGAATATTGTGGACTTGTTTAGGCCAACAGATTTGAAAATCTGAAGGAAATGTTTGATTTCTTTTTTTTTTTTGAGAAGGAGTTTCACTCCTGTTGCCCAGGCTGGAGTGCAGTGGCACGATCTCGACTCACTGCAACCTCAGCCTCCCGGGTTCAAGTGATTCTTCTGCCTCAGCCTCCCAAGTAGCTGGGACTACAGGCACGCACTAGCTAATTTTTGTATTTTTAGTAGAGATAGGGTTTCACCATATTGGCCAGGCTGGTCTTGAACTCCTGACCTTGTGATCCGCCCGCCTTGGCTTCCCAAAGTGCTGGGATTATAGAAGTGAGCCACCGTGCCCTGTGGAAATGTTTGATTTTCTAGCAAAATATAAGTTACCAAAGTGGATTGTAGAAGAAAATAATGAGATTTTTTTTTTTTGAGATGGAGTTCCACTTTTGTTGCCCAGGCTGGATGGAGTGCAGTGGTGCAATCTCGGCTCACTGCAACCTCTGCCTCCCGGGTTCAAGTGATTCTCCTCTTGACTTCGTGATCCGCCCGCCTCAGCATCCCAGAGTGCTGGGATTACAGGCGTGAGCCACCATGCCCGGCCTGTCCTCCCTTTTTTTTGTTGCAGGATCTTCCTGATTTATTTTTATAAAGCTAATGTAACCCTGATACCTAAACCTTGACAATAGGTACTATAAGAAAAAAACACGTGATCACAGATTTTTTTTGGGGGGGGATGGAATCTCACTCTGTCGCCCAGGCTGGAGTGCAGTGGCGCCATCTCAGCTCACTGCAACAACCTCTGCCTCCTGGGTTCAAGCGATTCTCCTGCCTCAGCCTCCCAAGTAGCTGGGACTACAGGTGCGTGCCACCACACCGGCTAATTTTTTATTTTTAGTAGAGACAGGGGTTTCACCATATTGGCCAGGCTGGTCTCAAACTCTTGACCTCAGGTGATCCGCCTGCCTCGGCCTCCCGAAGTGCTGAGATTACAGGCATGAGCCGCTGCAACTGGCCTGTTTTTTGGTTTTTTTAGAGATGGGGTTTCATTATGTTGCCCAGGCTGGAATACAGTGGCTATTCACAGACTCAATCATTGCACACTACAGCCTTGAACACCTGGGCTCAAGTGAGCCCCTTGCCAAGTAGCTGGGACTATAGGTGCGTACACCACGCCTGGAAGGTTGTTGGTTTTTTTTGTTTCTACTAAAAATACAAAAATTAGCTGGGTGTGGTGGCGTGCGCCTATAATCCCAGCTACTCAGGAGGCTGAGGCAGGAGAATTCACTTGAACCCAGGAGGTGGACGTTTCAGTGAGCTGAGATAATGCCATTGTACTCTAGCCTGGGTGACAAGAGCGGAACTCGATTTAAAAAAATTTTTTTAAATAAATGAACAAAAAACAAGGCCAGGCGTGATGGCTCATGCGTGTAATTCCAGCACTTTCGGAGGCTGAGGCAGATGGATCGCTTGAGCCTAGGAGTTTGAGACTAGCTTGGTCAACATAGATGCTGTCTATACAAAAAATAAAAATAAAAAAACTAGCTGGGCGTGGGGTGTACGCCTGTAGTCCTAGCTACTTTAGAGGCTGAGGCAGGAGCCTCAGGACTTTGAGGCTGCAGTGTGCTATGACTGTGTCACTGCACTCCATCCTGGAGTGTGAACCACCATGCCTGGCCCAGGAAATATTTTTTACAGCATTATGTATAATAAAAAATTACAAACAAGTCAAATGTCCATTTGTAGAGGCATGACTCAATAAATTATAGTTCATCTATTGAGTGGTATACAATGGAGCCACTGAAAAGAATGAGATGAATCTGAACCCACCTGCAAAGGCAGCTGTGATTTATCATAAAGTTCAAGAGAATTAAATTGTACATCCATGACTAAGACTTCACTGGAGCTGAAGGTGGTTATAGTTAGGTGGAAAGAGAGGTGGCATTAATTCAGGTAGTAGCCTTCGTCTGTCAGGCCAGGCACATGGCTCTGGAAATACACAGCTGCAGACACATGGCAGGTGCCCTCAGGTAGTTCCCTGCTGGTGATGGAGGCCGAGCCACATGCTGCATCTTTTTTTTTTTTTTTTTTGAGACGGAGTCTCGCTCTGTCGCCAGGCTGGAGTGCAGTGGTGCAATCTCGGCTCACTGCAACCTCCGCCTCCCGGGTTCAAGCAATTCTCCTGCCTCAGCCTCCCAAGTAGCTGGGACTACAGGCGAACACCACCACGCCCAGCTAATTTTTTTGTACTTTTAGTAGAGACGGGGTTTCACCATGTTGGCCAGAATGGTCTCGATCTCTTGACCTCGTGATCCGCCCACCTCGGCCTCCCAAAGTGCTGGGATTACAGGCGTGAGCCACTGCGCCCAGCCTGCAGCATCTTTATGATAAGGAGCAAACGCGGGAGCTGCAGAGTTGGGAGGTACTTTGATAAGGCAAGGCAGGAGGGCTGTTTGGGAGCACAGGATGTGTTCTGAGGAGTGTTAGATAACTGGAGAGAAAAGGTTGGAACCTTGAAGTAATGTCATAGATTATTAATCCTGGATAGATGGATGGCCAGGCTGGATGGCCTGTGGGCAGAGAGCTGTGTTCTGGGGTAGGGCCTGATATCGCCCCAGGGGCAGTACCTTCTAGGTTACTGGTTAGGTTTTGCCTCATGGCCTATCTCGTGAAAGCACTCTTTCACCCTGGCCTGAGACCTTGCAGATTACCTCTTCTCTGTTGACCTGCTCGTGGTGACTTGGTCGTTTTTCCCCTTCGCTGTTTTTTTCTTTTAACTTTCACAATCCTTATTCCTTTTTCACAACCTGGATTTGAGCCCAGAGTGGGCCATCAGGATAGGAGGTTTTAGCAGGAGGCAAAGAAATAGAATTTTGGGGATGGCTTCTTGTCATCTTCTGACTCCACATCCTCTGTGTTCCCCTCCAGACCCTCTTCTGGCTGTGCCCAAGTGCTGTCTCACCCTGGGCATACACCTGTTACCAGCTTGGCCTGGGCCCCCAGTGGGGGGCGGCTGCTCTCAGCTTCACCCGTGGATGCTGCTATCCGGGTGAGTGGGTCCCTGCCCCTCATGCACATTTCAGTCCTGGCAAAAGTGTTCCTCACTCGGTTGTGGAAACATCTTGGGGGAAGGAGGAGGGACCTTGGTCCATTCAGTCTTAAACTTACCCAGAGAGGAGCTTTGCCATCAGACTCGTGAGGTTTAAAATTCCGCTGTCTGTAATTGTCAGCATGAACCCGTGCCTCATGTTTCACAGTCCCTCTCCCGCTTCCTCTCGTTTCTGGCTCTTTGTACATTAGAGAGGCCAGCCCACTGTGAGATGATGGGGTGCTTGAGTTTTCCCTTATCTCCTGCCCCACTCTCCTAGGTATGGGATGTCTCAACAGAGACCTGTGTCCCCCTTCCCTGGTTCCGAGGAGGTGGGGTGACCAACCTGCTCTGGTCCCCAGACGGCAGCAAAATCCTGGCTACCACTCCTTCAGCTGTCTTTCGGTGAGTGGGACAAGGATGGAGGGAGGGCAAGGACCTAGAGAAAGGCACTTAGCTCCTGGAAGCTCTGTCAAGGGAGGTAGGTCCAACTTTTAGAACTTAGAGGTCCTGAGCTGTAATTTGCTTTTCTCTGGCTCAGAGTCTGGGAGGCCCAGATGTGGACTTGTGAGAGGTGGCCTACTCTATCAGGGCGCTGTCAGGTAAGAGGGGACTCTGATTCACAGACACTGGGGAGGAGATGATTCCAATGGGCCCCTGATGCTCCCAAACCTGGCCACCTCTACTTTCCCTCCTGCATTCTACTATAGACATACCTTCTCCTGCCTTTTGCTCCCTGACCCCAGACTGGCTGCTGGAGCCCAGATGGCAGCCGACTGCTGTTCACTGTATTGGGAGAGCCACTGATTTACTCCCTGTCTTTTCCAGAACGTTGTGGTGAGTTAGGGCAACACTTCAGTATTTGGGGTGGTCAGAGGGAGGCAGCAACCTTTGGTAAGATGCAGCTCTGAGGGATAAAGGGAAATATAGAAGCTTAGGAGATTTCGAGGTGTTGATGCCTTTGGTGAGCTGGCAGGGGACCAGTGAGAGGCCTGTTTCTTGCAAGAACCTCTCTGCTCTTATTTGTCCACAGGTGAGGGAAAGGGGTGCGTTGGAGGTGCAAAGTCAGCAACGATTGTGGCAGATCTGTCTGAGACAACAATACAGACACCAGATGGTGAGGAGAGGTGAGCTGAGTGGTTGAGGGAGTGGCAGTGAAAAGCAGGTGGGAGGGACCACACTGAAACTCTCCTAACCTGTCCTTACCCACAGGCTTGGGGGAGAGGCTCACTCCATGGTCTGGGACCCCAGTGGGGAACGTCTGGCTGTGCTTATGAAAGGTGAGAGGCAAGGATGAAGGGCTCAGCCCACAGCCATCTTCCCAGTTAATCTAATGAGGCCGTGCCCTGGCCTGGAGTTCTCCTCTGCCCATGTCCTGGGACTCTGCCTTCAGAGTTCCTCCCCTATCCCTGGATCCATTTCTTACAGGAAAGCCAAGGGTACAGGATGGTAAACCAGTCATCCTCCTTTTTCGCACTCGAAACAGCCCTGTGTTTGAGCTCCTTCCCTGGTAAGTGCCATGTGGGCCCTTAGGTCTGGACTTCTCACCAGCCTTCCTGCACAAACAAACCCACATCCCACTACATTCAGCTCCCTTCTTGCCTCCGGTTGCCTGCTCACCTTTTCTTCTAGTGGCATTATCCAGGGGGAGCCAGGAGCCCAGCCCCAGCTCATCACTTTCCATCCTTCCTTCAACAAAGGGGCCCTGCTCAGTGTGGTGAGTGCGCCAGGCTGCTGGGGCTTCCAGGAGTTGGATGGAGAAGCTGAGGGCCTTGGCTGCTGTATGGCTCTGCCAGGTGGCCCTTCTTTGGGCCCAGACTCTGATCCTTTTCTTTCCCTTCTCTGCAGGGCTGGTCCACAGGCCGAATTGCCCACATCCCGCTGTACTTTGTCAATGCCCAGTTTCCACGTTTTAGCCCAGTGCTTGGGCGGGCCCAGGAACCCCCTGCTGGGGGTGGAGGCTCTATTCATGACCTGCCCCTCTTTACTGAGACATCCCCAACCTCTGCCCCTTGGGACCCTCTCCCAGGGCCACCACCTGTTCTGCCCCACTCCCCACATTCCCACCTCTAAGAATAAATAAGTTTTCCTTTTGTTTTCCACTCAGTTACCAGTCTGTCTTTTCCAGGGAGTTGCAGTGGGGTACAGTAGGGGAAAAAAGCATGGACTTTGGGTTAAGGCCCTGTTCTGTCACTTTTTAGCCACTTGTGAATTTGGTCACGTTATTTAATCCTAGAAACTATGGTTTCAAATGATTTGGGAAGCAAGGCTGAGAAGTTACTGTGAAGAAAATATATCTAGCACAGGGTCTTACACATAAATAGTTGTTTCACTTTTCACAAGTTTCTGGAATGGTGTAGGGCAAGAATAAGTCAAGGACTGGGTCAGTATGAGATGGAAGGTTTTATTAGACTAGGAGATTTGTGGGAGGTATGAGCGCTGGGCCAAGGTGGCACGGGCCATGCTCAAGGCACCCTCTCGGGTGCGGTGACCGCCAATGAAGCCGCTTGCATGGACGAAGATGCAGCCAGGGATCCCACTGACCTGGTCCAGGGCCTCGTCCCGAAGACCCCGCCATGGCTCTGGCAGGGGCAGCCTGGGCAGAAAGAGGGAGTACAGCAGGGGTCAGAGTTGGCAGCCTTCTCTTAACAAGGCTGAGACAAGCCTGAAGGTCTGCAGAGTGGTTCCCTAGGGCCTCACCGGCTTTGGAATGAGTGGGGCTCCTTGGGCACACACTGTATTCGCCACTGTCCAGCCTGGTCAGTGTAGATAACAAAGAAGATGGCCACTGGAGGGGACAGCCCAGATTCCAGGTGGTAGAGATGCTCCTTCCAGGGACATGCACCTTTCGCCAGTTCCACAATCTCTCCACTTGGGTCCACCTGAAAGAGGGAGAGCATAGCTAGAAGGTTTAAGGTAGGCTGGGCATGGTGATCATGTTTGTAGTCACAACATTTTGGGAGGCTGAGGTGGGAGGATCAGTTGAGCCCAGGAATTTGAGACTAGCCTAGGCAACAAAGTAAGACCCTGTCTCTACAAAAAATACAAAAATTAGCTGGGTGAGGTGGTGTGTGCCTGTAGTCCCAGCTACTCAGGAGGCTGAGGTGGGAGGACTGCTTGAGCCTAAGAGGTTGAGGTTGTCTGCCACTGCACTCCAGGGTTTAGGGTAGAAGAAGCAGGAGTTCCTGTTGATTGGCAGTCAGTAATCCTCAAGCCATAATGCCTCCTCCAAGGCCTATACCTGGAATCGCTGGGCAAGGGCCTCTTCCACCAAGGCCCGGGCTGGCAGCCAGCTGTGTTGGTAGAAATCTAATCTCTGCAGAAACTCCTCTTGAACCAGATCCATTGCACGCTTGAACCCTGCCTGGGAATGATGAGAATTAGAACCATGATGCTGGCCCAAACTTGGAATTTGCTAGGGCTTAGGAGGAGCAAATGCTCCCATTTTCCCCCCACCCAAGGTTCTTACAGGTCTCCGGGTCTCCTCCCAGGCCACCTTACCTCAGTGTCTTGGTCGGGGTGGTTCCAGGTAGGATTAAGTCGAGCAACTCGTGCACTCAGGGTAGTGGTCAGTGCATATCGAGGCTCCCCCTCTGCCCACTGGGAGATCCCATTGTCCACAGCATCCACCTCCTCCACAAAGTTCTCATACATCTAAGGCAGCAGCAGGGGAAACCTTCTTGAGGCTACCTGCTACTTATGTGAAATCTTACATGATTCAAAGTATGTTCATACACACTCTTTCAGCCCTGTGAGGATCTCTCAACATTAACTGGATGAGAAAAGGGAGAATTGGCAAGTTCAGCAGCTCGCTGAAGCTCAGACAGCTCGTTGTGCTGTGACTGGAATTCAGATCACCTGATTTCTAATCCATGCTCATTCTGCTGCACAAAGCCCAAACCAAAGCCAACACGTGTAGGGAGGGGACTGCTAACTTTTGAACAAGGAAGGTCTCTAGGTGCTAGAGGCTCTCTGTGGGAGTGGGTCCCTGTGGCTGAAGGCTGGTAAATCTCCAGGTGGGGTGAGTAGGTATTCAGTGACACGGTTAATGAGGTGCAGGAGCGGCTCTGGTTGAGAACACAAGTCAAGTGGGAGAAAATGAGTGTGAGACTAGACACCAAAAGCTGGTTGCTGGGTTAGGGTTCCAGGGAAGCCCATAATGTGCCTCATGACATCAGCAGTTGTCTCCTGGGTCTGAATAAATGGTAGGATAATGCCTCAAGAGTCTCGGGGCAGAAACTTTATGCAAAATTACCCTACAAAATAGGCCTCCATAACAGTACACCTGTGGTATGTAGAAAAGTGCTACTCTCAGAGCACTGAGAAAGTAACTCCTATGCCCAGCTCTTCTTGGTTTGGACCCCAACCTGATGCTCAGTTAAAACATGGGTTTAGGCCGGGCGCGGTGGCTCACGCCTGTAATCCCAGCACTTTGGGAGGCGAGGCGGGCGGATCACGAGGTCAGGAGATAGAGACCATCCCGGCTAAAACGGTGAAACCCCGTCTCTACTAAAAATACAAAAAATTAGCCGGGCGTAGTGGCGGGCGCCTGTAGTCCCAGCTACTTGGGAGGCTGAGGCAGGACAATGGCGTGAACCCGGGAGGCGCAGCTTGCAGTGAGCCGAGATCCCGCCACTGCACTCCAGCCTGGGCGACAGAGCGAGACTCCGTCTCAAAAAAAAAAAAAAAAAAACATGGGTTTAGGCTGAGGTGGGAGGATCACTTGAGCCCAGGAGTTTGAGTCCAGCCTGGGCAGCATAGCAAGACCCTCTCTACAAAAAAATTAAGATATATAATTAGCCAGGCATGGTGGCATGCACCTGTAGTCTCAGCTACTTGGGGGGCTGAGGTGGGAAGACTGCTTGAGCCCAGGAGTTCAAAGCAGCAGCAAGCCATGATGGCACCACTGGACTCCAACCTGGGCAACAGTCTCTCAAAAAAAAATACGGGTTAAATTTAGTCAATTGTTGCTGGGATTAGTGGCTCACGCCTGTAATCCCAGCACTTTGGGAGGCCAAGGTGGGTGCGTTACTTGAGGTCAGGAGTTTGAGACCAGCCTGGCTAACACGGTGAAACCCCGTTTCTACTAAAAATAAAAAATTAGCCAGGCGTGGTGGCAGGCGCCTGTAATCTCACCTACTTGGGAGGCTGAGGCAGGAGAATCGCTTGAACCCAGGAGGCGGAGGTAGCAGTGAGCTGAGATCGTGCCACTGCACTCCAGCCTGGATGACAGAGCAAGACCCCGTCTCAAAAAAACAAAAAAAAACAACAACAAAAATTTAGTCAGTTGTTTAGAAACCCTTCAGCAGTGGAAGGGAAAACTGACCCAGGCAGTCTAAAATCTTGATATTCCAAAAACTCTATAGTTACAGAGGGCAGAAAATGGGCAAGCTAAAACTGAGAACTGATGGGCCGGGTGCAGTGGCTCAGACCTGTAATCCCAGCACTTTGGGAGGCTGAGGTGGGCAGATCACGAGGTCAGGAGATCAAGACCATCCTGGCTAACACGGTGAAACCCCACCTCTACTAAAAATACAAAAAATTAGCCGGGCATGGTGATGGGCGCCTGTAGTCCCAGCTACTCGGGAGGCTGAGGCAGGAGAATGGCGTGAACCCGGGAGGCGGAGCTTGCAGTGAGCCAAGATTGCGCCACTGCACTCCAGCCTGGGCGACAGAGCAAGACTCCGTCTCAAAACAAAAAACAACAAAAAAACTGAGAACTGAATTCAACAGCCTACCTGCAAGAAATACAGCTGACTGAACCTGGGCTTTGACTTGTAAACAAGTAAGTGTCCTCAGTACTGTGCGACCTGACTTGCATGCCAGGGCCACTAGCCATATTCTTTCCCTAAGAGCAGGAAGCTGCTTGCAGGGGACACTGGTGGAATCCAAAGACAGTTTCATAATAAAACTCTTCTCAGCTGAGCTTCCCAATTTATGTGCCACTAGTGAACTACAGTGGTGCCTAACATACACTCCCCTCAACCTTCAGGGCAGCCAGAACCTCTGAGCCATCTGCTTCCACACATAAGCAGCCTCCCCTCTGTTTACCCAAAGGTGCTGAGCAATTGCTGTTTGTGTGTGTCAATAAAAAGACGGGGCCATGCTGCTTTATGGTTTTCAAAGCCCTTCCCCATATATTACAGCATCCACTTCTCACAACCACCCCAGGATGTAGACAGGGGAGGTATCACCATTCCCTTGTGAGATGAGCCTGACTGAGGGAGAGGATGAGTGTTGGGCCTGCTATAGGCCAGGAACCCTGACCCGAGGCCCAGTGCTGAGTGCTGTGTGAGCACTGCTCCCAGGCGGCCTGCTGGAAATGCATGTGGGGGGCATCTCTGTCCTCAGGTCCCCACCTTGTCATAGAGGGTGCCCACCATGCTGTCCTCTTCACTAGTGCCCAGCAACTGGGCCAGCAGCTTGTGCCCGAAGTGCAGATAGATGAGTCCCGCACTGCTCAGCTTGGTCTGCCACGGCTTCCCAGGGGACAGGGAGCTCATGGTCTCTGTGAAAGACCTGAGGAGCATAGGGAGGTGGGGCTGAGGTGAGGGACCTTGGCTAGAGTCTCCATGCATTCATTCAATGGTTAACTCAATGCTTCCTATCTGCCACATTTTATGTTTTATTAGACATTAAGGATAAAAAACCAAGACACTGTCCTTGCTTTCAGATTCATCTGCCGGAGGCCGACAAACACAACCCCCTGAGTACTCTCACTAGACGAGACAAGGGAAAGGAAGGAAGGGATGAGGAAAGGGTTCAGAGGAGAGCCTTCAGGTCAGTTCTGAAAGATGAATTAGTGGGTGTCCACCAGATAGACAAGGGGTGAAAGAGAAAAAGCATTCCAAGCAGAGAGAACAACATGAATGATGGCTGAGAGACAAGTGTCTTGATGGAACTTCAGCAAAGGCAGCTCAGGTGTGAGAAGTGAATGGCAAAAGAAAAAGCTGGAAGGGCAGGCAGGGCCAGACCATCGGACTTTATCTGTGGGTAATCGAAGTCATTGGGGGATTTTAAGCAGGCAGGTGCATGTTACAGCATTGCACCAGCCAGCATGGAGAACAGATGCAAGGAGATTACCTGCAATGGTTCAGGTGAATAAAGAAGGCAAGAATTTGAACAGCAGTGGGGCAGAAAATAGAGAAAAGATATAACAGATGTTAGGGAAGCAGAAACTACAGCCATGATTTCTAAATACCAGTCCATCTCAGAATTACCTAGGGAGCTCCATTTGTTAACTGACTTTTATTATTAAATATTGAGTAAATACAGGCTGGGCTCAGTGGCTCACACCTCTAATCCCAACACTTTGGGAGGCCAAGGCGTGATCACTTGAGGTCAGTAGTTTGAGACCAGCCTGGCCAACATGCTGAAACTCTGTTTCTACTAAGAATGGAAAAATTAGCCGGACATGGTGGCACACGCCTGTAGTCCCAGCTTCTTGGGAAGCTGAGGCAGGAGAATTACTTGAATCTGGGAGGTGGAGGTTGAAGTGAGCTGAGTGCCACTGCACTCCAGCCTGGGCAACAATAGCGAAACTCCATCTCAAAAAAAGTAAAAATAAAAAAAATGAGGCTGGGCATGGTGGCTCACACCTGCAATCCTAGCACTTTGGGAGACTGAGGCGGGTGGATCACCTGAGGTTAGGAGTTCAAGACCAGACTGGCCAACATAGTGAAACACTGTCTCTCCTAAAAATACAAAAATTAGCTGGGCGCCTGTAGTCTCAGCTACTTGGGAGGCTGAGGCAGGAGAATCACTTGAACCCAGCAGACGGAGGTTGCAGTGAGTCGAGATCACATCACTGCACTCCAGCCTGGGTGACAGACGAGACTCCATCTTAAAAACAATTTGATAAAAGGAAGTGGTCAATAATGCCAAGTGCTAAAGAGATCAGTTGAGACCCTTTACCAGCTCCCTGGTTTGGTGCTGAGGTAACTGGTGCCCTTCTGCCGAGCAGTTCCAGAGAAGACACTGGGAGAGTGGGCTTGAGGGGAATGAACTGGAAAGGAACAGGTGAAGCCACGGTCAGCTGTTTTTTGAAGGGTGGCTGAGAAGCAAGGGTGAGAGCTTAGGCTGTAAATATTGGGAGGGTTTCTTCCTGACATCATTTATAATATGTATGCTAAAAAAAGAAAAAAGGAGAGAGACTTAAAACATCATAATCCCTCTCTCCAAGATAATTACTTCTCGTGGTGTGGTATAATTGAGGGAGGGTTTTGTTTTTACACCTGTGTTTCTTTTCAAGATGGAAGATACTTGAGAAGGGTTTTAGGCTGTAGGGAAGGAGAGGCAGAGACACTAGTGGAACTGTGACATGAAATCCCAGAGGATAGGCCGACAGTGGCTCACACCTGTAATCCCAGCACTTTGGGAGGCCAAGGCGGGGCAGATCACAAGGCCAGGAGTTCGAGACCACTCTGGCCAATATGGTGAAACCCGTCTCTACTAAAAATACAAAAATTAGCCGGGTGTGGTGGTGGGTGCCTGTAGTCCCAGCTACTCGGGAGGCTGAGACAGGAGAATCGCTTGAACCTGGGAGACAGAGGTTGCAGTGAGCCGAGATCGTGCCACTACACTCCAGCTTGGGCGACAGTGGGAGACTCCGTCTCAAAAAAAAAAAAAAAGAAAAGAAAAAAGAATCCCAGAGAAGAAAGTAATAGACTGGAAACAGGACAGAGGATTAACCTCCAATAGAAGGGAAGAAATTTCCCTTAGTTGGTAGGAGGGAGCTGAGGATGTTTGAGGTGGGAGACTGAGGAAATGCTCAACTTCTTTTGAAGAGAGGCAGGGACACTCAGTTTGATGCGGTAGAGGCTTGAGGGAGAAGAAAAGGATTGGAATAGGCTACCCTTGAGCAAGAAGGATTTCCCTTTGGAAGGGTGTAAATGAAGTAGAAAACTTCACACATCTGAACTGTCACCAACTGCCACAATCATGTGGGCCCAGCAGTTAGGTGCAGCAGCAAGGGCACCAGAATGGATTAATCACAGATGGGTTTATTTAGTTGGGGTGATGAAGTTGCTGATGGAAAAAAAGCCTTGGCTAAGGAAGGAGATGAGATAAGGGGCCTGAGGGACTCCCTGGGAACCAAAGGAGGTCCCAGGCCAGGGAGATGGGTGAAGAACAGGCAGGGCCGGAAGGATGATGTAGTCCTAGTGGGAGTTTGATTTCAGTGATGAAGCAGTTCTTTTCGCTGACGCGGACTACGGCAGTGGATGGCTGAATTGGAGCACAGAGGAAAGCTGAGGTCAAGGAAGTTAAATAAATGGTATCTGAGAACCTACCTCTGGTGATGGTCATATCGGTGTCTCCGAGGGTCGTACTCGCCCCCCACGTCCACCACGATGTCACAGGAAGCGAGTTTTTCGGGATCCCGGGTCCGCACAATCTCTGCATCCTGCGAGGTACACAGGGGTGAAGGGGCTGCCGGGTGTCGCCGGGTAGGGGATTAATGCTGGACTTCAGGGAGGCAGGAAGGGTAGGAAGGGTGCTTGGGCTGCCGGGCGCTATCGGAGTGACCCTGTTGGCGGAATGCCATCCACCCCGGAGGCATGCATGCACGCAGTCCCAGGGTCACTTTTCGCGGACCGTACCCGGTACTCCGGCAGGAGGCGAAGCAGTGCGCATGCCAGTGCCTCGTCGCAGTGGAAGGTGCCATTGTGCGTCCCGATTCGGGGCGGTGCCATGAGTTTGCTGCGGGATCGTTTTGGGGGCGGGACGGACTCTGGACCGAGCATGCGGTGCCGGGTATACAGGGGTGGCGGCGGCAGCAGCAGCGTTAAGAGGCCGCGCAGGAAGCGGTGTCCCATAAGCAGCTCCCTGCAGGGAGGCAGGAGCGCCGACCCGGAAGAGGAAGCGCCAGCGCAGCCCCACTTCCGCTTGCCAACCGTTCCCTTGGCAACCAGCTCTGCAGAGTGAGCAGCAGCACACTCCCAGCCTAGGATTTCTTCCAGCTGGTCAAAGGGCCCTGCGATGGAGCCTCCAAGAGGCGCATCGCATCACCCCTGCGCATCAGGCTCTGAGACGGGGCCCACACTCTCGACCACACCCCCATCTCATCACCAGTCCCTTGCTTAATCCAAGAAAAGACCAACATTCTGCCCAGCTGGCACATTTATTGGCATTAAAACACAAGACCCTTCCCATCACCAGGAAGCCACGCCCAAAGGGTGTCCCTCTGCCCCATTTCTGCAAAAACTCTCAGGCCTTAGCAGTAGCCTGAGCTGCCCCCAGGGCTGTGAGCTGCTGAATCTTCTGACTCATCATTTCCATGACGGCTGTGGAAAAAAATAAGAGTCAAAGGTTAGAAGCAAAAAGGAGAACCTAGAGTTAAGGAGAAGTGACAGGCAAGTTTAAGGACAGGCGACCGACTAACTACAGTTTGTTAATAACCTTTTTTTTTTTTTTTTGAGACAGAATCCTGCTCTTGTCACCGAGGCTGGAGTGCAGTGGCACGATCTTGGCTCACAGCAACCTCCGTCTCCCGGGTTCAAGCGATTCTCCTGCCTCATCCTCCCGAACAGCTGGGATTACAGGCATGCACCACCATGCCCGGGCTAACTTTGTATTTTTAGTAGAGATGGGGTTTCACCATGGTGGCCAGGCTGGTCTTGAACTCCTAACCTCAGGTGATCCACCTGCCTTGGCCTCCCAAAGTGCTGGGATTACAGGCGTCAGCCACTGCGCCTGGCATTGTTAATAAAACTTTAACTCAGTGATCCACTGTGGGGTCACTAACACAAATTTAGGGTCTACAATGCATCGGTCAATATGCTAACACAGCTGGGTGTGGTGAGAATGAGACTCTTCTCGGAAAAAAAAAAAACCTGCTAACCAAAGATATAAAAACGAACACAATATGGTATTAAATGAGTCTGACATAATCAGAAAACTATGATGGGGAAAGATTTTTACCTTTGGAACACTGGTTCTGAATCCTGATTATAACAGAGGGGAGCTTTTTTAAAAAAAAACAGACCTTGGTACAACTTCCCCTCCTTTGACTTCCAAGTTGATTTAGTCAATCTGGAATGGGCCCAAGCTTTCTTTTTAAACTTCCTGAGTGATTCTCATGTGCAGTCGGGGTTATAATTGCTGGTATTTAGTTCGTTTGGATCATGATTCCTTCCTGTGTGTTCATCTCATTCCCCCATTCCATCGTCATTAAATAGGAGCTCCACCAAAGCACAAACATGATTTCCTTCCTCTAAATTTCTCAAACGCTCAACCCAGGAATCTACAGATAGTGATTATGCAATACACAGATTCTAAAGATGCCAAAGAGAAACTAAGACATAGTTTTACTCCAGCAAAGGGGACACCCCCGTGGTTCACACTGCAATCCATGTTCCTTATTATGGAGATAGGGTCAAGAGGTGCCCCAGGAAAAACTTACCCTGTTTCATGGCGTGCTTCTCCTGAAGAGCTGGTTGGATTTTCTCCATCTGCTTGGTTAGAAAATCTATCTTCCTCTTGAAGAAGTCCTTGGCATCCTCAGCTGTCTACAAGATCAGAGGTGAATAAGGGGCTAAAAGGAGACTCCCTCTGGCCATGCTGCGCTCTAGAGCTTCCCCTGAATTTCCCTTCCCTGTTTAGAGGGGCATCCACATGCTCTCACTCACCTTCTCTACATAGTACCCAGTTCCCACATCGATGAGCACGTGTTCCACATCATGCAGCTTCCCAGGGACATACATCTGAGAAGCAAGAATTAAGGGAAAAACTAGCCAGCCCAGCATGAGCCATGATTCCGCCAGCCAGCCTGCTTGGCCTCCAAAGACCCTCTTTTTCCAAAAAGCTACAAGGCATAAGGACTGAATAATCTGGAGGCCTTAGAACAATACCTATAACTCCAAATGGAAAGAAGACAGAGAAGTTGGTTCTTTAAGGAGAAAATGATGTATGCTGGAACACCCTCTTGTCCTGCCTCATCCCATCTCTCACTCTCTAAGCAGTTCTTGCAATTCTTCCCATTAGCCCCTCCAGAAAGACTAGACATGTTTTCCTACTGTTGTAGAGTACTACAAGTAAAAAGCCAGCCTCATTTCCCTTAATGCCCTCAATCATGAAGTAGCTAATTCCTGACAAAGTCAATGTTTTGTTTGTTTTTTGCTTTCTGAGACAGAGTCTCGCTCTATCGCCCAGGTTGGAGTGCAATTGCCCGCTATCGGCTCACTGCAACCTCTGCCTCTCGGGTTAAAGCAATTCTCCTGTCTCAGTCGCCGGAGTAGCTGGGATTACAAGCATGTGCCACCACGCCTGGCTAATTTTTGTATATTTAGTAAAGACAGGGTTTCACCATGTTGGCCAGACCGATCTCTAACTCCTGACCTCAGGTGATCTGCCAGCCTTGGCCTCCCAAAGTGCTGGGATTACAGGCGTGAACCACTGTGCCTGGCTAATTTTTTTTTTTAAACCATTCCCTACTACACACTACTATTCCTGTGTTCCTTTTAGCCTGTCAGTTCTGAGACTACAGATTAAAGATGCCCTACTGCCATAACTTGCTCATTCAAATAAAACACTGAACAAGTGAACACAATCCAGGTTTCTTAGTGACAGTTTAGAAATGAGCCACAATTAAGCTGAAGTTGAAGATTAACAGAGCCAAGCTCCCTGTTTCTATATCCTCCTATTTTTGTCTATTGCCTGTATCTTCTAAGATATTAGCAAAGTGTAAACCACCAGCTTTATCTCCATATTAATGTTCTCAAACAGCAAAGGGAAATATTACATCTCAACTATACATACTCCTTGGTGTTCACAAGACATTAGCTGGATGTTGGTGTGAAGTCAGATAAAAGAGCTACAAAGTGTGTAATAAGAGTATTCTTGGCCGGGGGCAGTGGCTCACGCCTGTAATGTAATCCTAGCACTTTGGGAGGCCGAGGCAGGCGGATCACGAGGTCAGGAGTTCGAGACTAGCCTGGCCAATATGGTGAAACCCCCAACTCTACTATTAATACAAAAATTAGCCGGTCGTGGTGGCGCGTACCTAAAGTCCCAGCTACTCGGGAGACTGAGGCAGAAGAATCTCTTGAACTCGGGAGGCGGAGGTTGCAGTAAGCCAAGATCTCACCATTGCGCTCCAGCCTGGGCGACAGAGCGAAATTCCGTCTCAAAAAAGAAAGAAAAAAAAAAAGGGTATCCTCAAAATCATTGTGAGGAGAGGGTAATCTGAAGTAATCAAAACAATCCCCCTCCCCGCTTTTTGGGGGAGTGAAGGAGAAAGGGAGAAGGCAGCAGGTAGCCGTTCCTGTGGAAAGGATACAGAACTCGTCAGTGGGACGAGTAATTCTTTCCCTGTGAAAGCAATGAAGACAAACACCTGGGGAAGGTTAGCGGCTCCAACGTAAGACGTTAAAGAGAGTTCCAACAGGGCACAGCACCCACAGACAGTGTGAAAAGAACGGAAACAGGGGCAATAGGAGCAGAGGAATGTCCTGTACTTTTCAATTCTAGGCAGGCAACATGCAAAGGGTTCATGAAGCGGTATACGATATGTAATGGATTTTCTCGTTTCAGGTAAGAAAAACTGGGTTAGGAGGTGGGACGAGAGAAGCAGGTTCGCCACTTTAGGTTACCCTCACCCGCCTACCCCATACCCTCGTTGCTCTTGTTCAGCACGTTCAGACAGTCCTTGGCTTCCACATACTTGGTCTGTACCACTTTGAGCTGAGCAATGGACGTGGACAAGAACTCCACTTCCTACAGAGGACCGGGATAGCGGGTCAATGAGAGGACTAAGGGGAGAAAGGAGCGCGGCCGGGGAGGGGGCAGGTCCTGGGATCGGATAGAGGTTTCGCCTGGGAAAGGTAGGCTGCCAACTTGGAACCGGGCGCGAGAAGTACGCGTGGGCAAGGGGGATGTAGAGCAGGAAAGAGGTGCCTCTGGGGCCCGTCCCCACCTGGTCCAGCTGGTTCTTGAGCATTTCTAGCTGCGGCAGATTCAGCTCCGTGATGTTAATAGACTGCGCCATGTTGGGAAGGCCGACTTAACGAAGAGGAAGTCTCTCGGCGAGCAACGCTCTAGCCGTCCTCTGCGCGTCTCGGTGGCGCCGGGAGGCCTCGCTGCGCCAGACAGCTCTATGATCCTCCGTCCCGGAAGGGAAGGAGGGGCTTGAGCCTCTCAGAGACTGTTGTGTGAGTTCATTTCATAAAATGTCTTAAGCCTAGTATTGTAAAGTAGCAGCAAACAGGACTCCTGCCTACAAGGAACTGCAAAATCTTAAAGTTCTCACGACACAACCACGATATTACAAAGTAGTGTATGCTACTCCACGTGGGTGGTATAAGCTACTGGAAAGCAGGCTGGATTGCCATGGCGACGGCTCGGGGGCCTGGCCCTGCTCCTCTCCACCCCGCTTGCTATTGCTGCCTGCTGGTACCCCGCCAGGCCCGATTTCAAATGTTCCTCCCAGCACGGCATGGAAATGGCAGGGAAATTCTAAACTCTTTTTCCCAGATGGCCTCTGAGGCCGAAAGGCAGGAAAAAAAAAAAAATCCCTTGTCAGACCGTTCTGAATTGTCCTTGGAAAAAAACAGGCATTAGATTGAAAGCTTGTCGAAGGCAGGAACCAACCATGTTCTCATCACTGAACCAATTCTTCCCCTCTCGCTATAACCATCTTCCCCCAGCCGGAAGTAGGCTGACACGTAGTAGGATCTGAAAAAGGGTTTATCACCCGTTGCCAGTGAGGTGGTGGGAGAACAGCAAGGAAGCGCCATTGTCAACCAAGTACAGCACAAATTAATCAATAAAATATTTTGGCCGGGCATGGTGGCTCACGCCTGCAATCCCAGCACTTTGGGAGGCCGAGAAGGACAGATTGCTTGAGCCCAGGAGTTTGAGACCAGCTTGGGCAACACGGCGACACCCCGTCTCCACAAAAAATACAAAAATTAGCCGGGCTGGTGGCACACGCCTGTAGTCCCAGCTACATGGGAGGCTGAGGTGGGAGGATCGCTTGAGCTGGAGAGTTGAGGCTGCAGTAGGCTGTGATTGTGCACACTAGCAACAGAGCTAGACTCTGTCTCAAAAAAAAAAAGGTTTTACCATGTGCTGTATGTGAGGGATACGTGAGAGTGTAAGATACTTGCTTCCCTTGAGCTTAACAATTGGAGAGAAAAACCACACTAGAACTCCACAGATCCACAGACTCTACTGCTAAAGTTACACATTGGTAAGTGTAACAGGTGTACATGGGCAGACAGCAGTAGCCTTTAACATCTACTTAGGAGGCAGGCAGGGCAACTGAGGCATTAAAACTAGTGCCATGGCTGGGCGCGGTGGCTCACGCCTGTAATCCCAGCACTTTGGGAGGCTGAGGAGGGTGGATCACAAGGTCAGGAGTTCGAGACCAGCCTGGCCAATATGGTGAAACCCTGTCTCTACTAAAAATGCAAAAATTAGTGGGACGTGGCGGCATGTGCCTGTAGTTCCAGCTACTCAGGAGGCTGAGGCAGGAGAATCGCTTGAACCCAGCAGGCAGAGGTTGCAGTGAGCCGAGATTGCGCCACTGCACTCCAGCATGGGCAACAGAGCAAGACTCTGTCTCAAAAAAAAACAAAAACAAAAAACAAAACACTAGTGCCACTCCAAAGATACCTGCGGCAGGAAGACAGGACGGACGGATGGTACCTGGCCAAAACACTCTCAAAGGGTCTATCACTACCCTTCCTTGGGCCTGTCTCTACTTAGCATTTTGATGCCCCTTTCTCCTCCAGATTTGTCTGCTGAGGCCCAGCCAGGCCCAGCAGGCTTTGTCCTGTGTCTTTGCCTTTCTTCCCCAAGCACTCAAACTTGATCTGCTGTAACCTGTTCCTGTCAGCTTACAGTACCACATAGTAGGAAGGGGGCAGTCATGCCGTGTCTTTAAATGTTCTCAGATAAACTACGCAAAACAGGGTTTAAATGATGTATCTTTATTATACTGAGGTTAAATCAAAAGGAAATGTTTCATATAAAACACTGGGGAAAATCACTTTAAAAGAGTTATCCTAAGGATTAAATCTAACCTTGGAGGTAGAACAGTTATGAGGCTTCTAGCATCAATAAGACAGCTCCATGGGGTTACCGCAGAGAGACAGGCAAGCCATAGGCTATAGGTGCAGCCCCAATAAGATACTTGAGTCGGGGAGCTTGGCGGGCCTGGTTTACATAGTAGAGAAGGGGGGCCCCTGGGCCTGCTCCAAGCCAGCCTTGCAGCAGAGCTTCCGTGTAGCGGTCAATGTCGCGGTCAGTCACATCCCAGAGATTACCCAGAAACAAGGGGCTGGGAAAAGAAAAGGAGGAAATACAAAGTAAGGGCTCTAAAACAGAATACATAGGAAAACACCATTGGTGGTGGGGGTGGGTGAGTGGAGAGGATTGAACCAATGAGAAACTCCTTTGGCCCTTGGTTACAAGAGAAGAACAGAAGGGAGCTAAGGGTTAATGGTCCAGGCATGCCAGGGAACTAACTAGGATAGGAGGAAAATGGGGCACAAGAGAGGCAAGATTCAGACCTGGGAAAGAACCTGGGGTGAGGGCAGGAGTCCTAATGCCCTAGGATGGGTCTTGCCCTTGGAGACTCACCAACCAGCCATGATGTACTTGAGCACGATGCCAGCCCCCTCCAGGTTTCCACGCACAGCCAGGGCCGCACTGCTACAGCCAAACAGCAGGGCCACTGCCCGACAGCTCAGCCGCAGGACAGCCTGCCCATCAAGGAAGCGGGCACCAGCCCCATGCCCTGCATAGCTAAGGCAGAAGGAGGTGAGATGAGTCTTGAGCTAGTAATACCTGGCCTCTGCCTGTGTCTTCAGAGGCTCTCAAGTCCCAAAGCAACCCATGGTGATACCATCCTCAGGACTGCCCCTCTCCCCACATCCCTGCCTTAAGCACTCACATATACAAATCATGCTTTGTCAGGGCTTCCTGCACCTGTTCAGGTCTTGGCACCTCCCCAACCACTCCTCTCCAGCCAGCTTCACTGCAGGGAAAAGGCAGGTGTGAGAATAGGGAAATGCATGGCAGGGGTCAGGTGGCAAAGACAGCAGAGGGATCATTAGATAGAAGGTGGGCTGCAACAGCTGTTTCTGGAGAAAAGGCTTGTTGCCCCTGTATGTTGTCTACCCTTCCCCACACGTCTTCTTGTCTTCGCGCCCCTGACCTGCTGAAATTGGCTCGAAATTGCTCCTCTGTGCTTGACAGGTTATTGTGAGGGTTCAGGACATAGAAGGTACTTCGTGGATCCACCCCTTGACTCAGCACTGGCGAGGCCCCATACTGAGGAGGAGACACTGGCGATTAGGATGCTTGTCTCACCAAGAGGCCCAAGCTCTAACAATCTCAGCCCCTTTCCATGTCTGAGCCATTCCTAGGACCCTCTCCTATCTTCTCAGGTTTCTCTGCCCTTCTTTGTTGACGTCTTCCCCAGTCGCCAGTCATCCCCAGACACTACGCCCTGAACCCCACCTCTTTGATGATGGAGTAGCTGAGTAGGAAGCGGAAGGAGGGCAGCCGGGTGACAGGCAGTGCTTGGAGGCTGGGCATGCTTTCCCACGGCAGCTTCTGCAAGTCCTGGGCAAAAAGCACTAAGAGGTTACTGTCCCCAGCCAGGTATATGCAGAAGTCAGAAGGGGCATGGGGATGAGTTGGTATTCACTCCCCACTAGACACTGCCCCTCTGCCCCAGCTCCTTACCTTGTCTAGGACCAAGACAAGGTGGCTATTGCTTGGTACTGTCAGGCCCTGTAGACGTCCTACTGCCTCATTCAGGAGCTCCTGGGCTCGCTCTGGCTGGGTTGGGCACAGCCCGTAGGCCAGGGCCTGAATGTCCTGAGGGGTGAGGGCACCGGCACCACTGAGCATGATCTGCAGGGAAACAGTGGTGGTGAGCACCATCTTCATTCATGATAGCTGCTGGGAAAGGATTAAGTCCAGTTTCTTCCCTTTCCCTGTTTTCTTTTTTTTTTGACAGAGTCTTGCTCTGTCGCCCAGGCTGGAGTGCAGTGGCGCAATCTCAGCTCACTGCAACCTCCACCTCCCAGGTTCAAGCGATTCTCCTGCCTCAGCCTCCTGAGTAGCTCGGACTACAGGCATGTGCCACCAAGCCCAGCTAATTTTTGTATTTTTAGTAGAGATGGGGTTTCACCCTGTTGGCCAGGATGGTCTTCACCTCTTGACCTTGTGACCCACCTGCCTCGGCCTCCCAAAGTGCTGGGATTATAGGCGTAAGCCAAGGGGCCTATCCTTTTTTTTTTTTTTGAGATGGAGTCTCACTCTGTCACCCAGGCTGGAGTGCGGCGATCTCAGCTCACTGCAACCTCCGCCTCCCAGGTTCAAGCAATTCTCCTGCTACAGCCTCCCGAGAAGCTGGAATTACAGGTGCCTGCCACCATGCCCAGCTAATTTTTGTATTTTCGTAGAGACAGGGTTTCACCATGTTGGCCAGGCTGGTCTCGAGCTCCTGAGCTCAAGCAATCCATCTGCCTTGGCCTCCCAAAGTGCTGGGATTACAGGTGCAAGCCACTGGGCCTGGCCCCCTTCCCTGCTTTCCTCACTCACTTTCAGCAGAGTGCGGTCAGGATATTTCCAGCCACAGTCCTGTAGCAGCTCCTGTAGGCGGGAGGCCTCCTGGGCAGGGCCGGGCTCCTCACTGGACGGCAGCAGCAGCCCCTTCCAGCAGCCCAGCACAGACTTCTCTAGGGAAGCGATGAGAACCTGAATGCAGAGGGCAGACCCTTCAGTCAGAGAGGAAACCAAGCTTCTTTCTCACAGGCACTGACATTTTGGAGATGAGAAAATGCGTTTTCCAATGTGCATGTCTGTCTTACGTATCTTTCTGCTGGGAAGCTGATAGTTGGGTTTAAGTCGTTTTTTTTCTGCGTATCTTTAAATATCCATTCCCATATATTCTTCAAGTTCTGGGCTCTGAAGTTCTCCCCAGGTGACATATTTTTAAATTTAGGTCTACACTTCCAGAAGGGATTTGAAGTGGCTTTAGCACTGACCCAGGCCGTCTGGTAGAGAAGTCACTGGGACCCCCCGGGTCATTCCTAGAGCAGGCCTGACCCCACCCCAGAAGCACACACCTCCATCCTGTGGTCCAGTGCCAGCCGCCCTGTCCACCATTCTCGCTTGTCAGTACAGCTGCTGTTCTCTTTCTGTGCCTTCTGGATGGCATCAAACTCATTCAGGACTGAACGCAGATGAAGCTTTGGGAGATGGGGCTGTGAGAGCTCTGCTTGTCCACGTGATCACCATCTCTCCCTCCCTCAACACAGAATGTGAGCAGCTTGACCCGAAGCCCAATCCAGCCCAACTTTGCTCCATGGCCCAGGAATCCTACCTTGTTCTGGCCAGTGGGAATCTGCACACTGACTGGGGGACTGTCCTTTTCCAGCCGGGTCAGCAGGAGGGTGTTGCCCACGGTTCCGGGCTGGAGGGTGGCCAGGGCCAACACACACACAGTCACCCCTGACACACAGGATACAGCCAGACTCATTCAGCTGTTAAAGGAATTCCCTTCCCTGTCTTGGGCACTCAATTCCTATCCATCACTCAAGCCAGCATCAAGAAGCCTTCCCTGGTCACTAGAGGTCAAGGTGCTCTCCCTTGCTCTAATAGCTCCCTGTGCACAGAGACCATGACTTGTACTTTGTGTCCCTCACAGCAACTAACAAAGTGAGGCACTCAAATCATGTGAATATGTTTCATGTTAGCACAGAAGACCCCAGTCATCTGAACTCACCTCTGAGGAAAGACACTGAATTTGCTGGTAATTCAAAGTTGAGGTTTAAAAAAAACAACAAACCTTCCTGATGTAAGATGCTAACAGGTGAAAAGGTATGACATAAGGGTCATAAATCTATGTAAACTAACCAATGCCTAAAACTCCTTCACCCAGCTCCCAAGTAAGAAGATGCAGAAGAGGACAGAGGAGCCGGCCAGAAGGCTGCCCGCATACCACTGGGGATCAGAGCCAGGCGCTCCTGGAAACTCTCCTTTTCAGGCTGGGGGAAGTGGCCAGATTCCAAAGCCCTGAAGGAAAAGAGGCGCTGGATGCGGGCCAGGGGGACATCTCCAGGCATCTCCTGAAGGCTCAGCCCCTGCAGCTGGTCTGCTATTTCAAGTGATCCTCGGTGCTTCTGGGCCTTGCTGCAAGCAACACGGGGAGGGGTGAGGTCCCATTCCTTCAAAGTCTGGACCTTCTCTCTAGTCTGCCCCAGCAGGAGTCTTGGGGATGGTCAGCACCCACCTGAGCTGTCTGTGGAGGTGGGTGAGCAGCTGGTGGCGACAGGTGATGGAGACAGACTCGGTGACAAGGAAAGCAGTGGCATAAGGATCCCGGTGGCCCAGGCACAAGGCCAGGAAGCGGCAGAGGTGGGCATAGAGCCCACTAGGAGGACAGTGACTAATGCCCCGGAAAGCAACACTCAGGGAGTCACAGATGGAGTCCAGGGTAGAAAGACCTAGAAGAACGTCAGGACACTTGGTACAGCTGAATTCCTTATTTCATAGTTGATAGGAACTTTCCAAGAAGGAACAGTCCCTATCTCATCTCCCACATGGCAAACAGCAACTACCATTTATGAAGGGCAATGTGCCAAGTGGGGTGCCATGCAACTAACAGGCATCAACTTATTCCACCATGCTCCCTAAACCCCATTTTTACAGAAGGAATAGAAGCTTGGAGAGGTTAAGTGACCTGCACACAGCTCATAGACAGAGTGCTGGGGTTCAAACACAGGTTCAGAGGCTACTGGATCCAGATCCGAACCCAGCCTGGAAAGACAGAGGGGTCAAAAGCCCTAGAGGCTCAGCCCTCTCCAAGTGACCAACATCAGGGGTCGCATATTCACCAGTGGCTACGGGGGCTGAGGGGAGCCGGAGCCGAGGACCAAGGTCCTTGTCACTCTCCTTGTCTGGGCATGGGCTGGGCAGCTTCTTCTTGCTGGAATCCAGCCTCAGCAGCTCCCATTCTCCAGAAGCTGCCTCAGGGCCCGGAGCTGGAGTCTTCCCACCTGGGGAGAGAGCAGGCCTTTTTCACAGTGCTCCCTCCCCCTGCCATTCTCTTTGTTCTTCCTTCTGTAATCCACTCCCTTAGAGTCAGCAAAAGAACATTCTTCCTGTACTTCCTTGGCAGCACTTACTGCTTGTGCTTTGCCCCAGAACAAACCCCCAAAACATGCACCTTCCACCTCACCCTTGCTGTCCTACCTGAGGCTGAGTCTTCCCCGTCAGAGCCCCTGAGGATCTCAAAGCTCATTTTTCTCCAGTTGTCAGTCAGTTCTTCCTCAGGGATGGTCCTCATGATCTCAGGGCCAGGCCTGGCCTGGTCACTGGCCCTCTGGGGACGCCGCTCCTCACAATGTCTTGATGCCACCTTCTTGGCCCTCCGGCTCCTGCCATTCAGGCCAGGGTTCCCAGGGGCACTACCTGGGGCAACCACGGCATCCGTCTTTAGGCTCAGGCCCTTCCTTGCTCGCCCCCGGCCCCGGGAAGCAGTGCCCCGTCTCTTAGGCTCCTCTGCCAGCCAGGCCTCAGCTGAGACAGGGTCTTCCAAGTCACTGTCATCACTGAAGTTCACCTGAGATCAGAGTGAAAGGGTGAAGGGCTAAGAGGTCTTCAGTGACAAGACACCTTGTGACAGCAGGTGGCGTAGTGGAGGCACCATCAGGCACCATCACACAGGACCCTGGAAGATTTCAGAACTAACTTCTCACATGACAGCCAACACTCTAGATCAGGGGCAGCGACTCTTGGGTGTGGAAGGAGGGAGAAAATGAGGGAACAGAAGGTGGGATGAAAAGGTAAAAGAAACATTAGAGTTAAGGAAAATGTCTCTGTCTGAAACAAAGGGAGACTTGGAAATAGGTCTTGCTGTGAAAGATGTTGGCCTGGCACAGTGGCTCACGTCTGTAATCCCAGCACTTTGGGAGGCTGAGGCAGGCGGATCACCTGAGGTCAGGAGTTTGAGACCAGCCTGGCCATCATGGTAAAACCCCGTCTTTACTAAAAATACATAAATAAGCTGGGTGTGGTGGCACCCGCCTGTAATCCCAGCTACTCGGGAGGCTGAGGCAAAATTGCTTGAACCCGGGAGGTGGAGGTTGCAGTAAGCCGAGATCGCACCATTGTACTCCAGCCTGGGCGACAGAGTGAGAGTCCGTCTCAAAAAAAAAAAGAGGCTGAGCATGGTGGCTCACGCCGGTAATCCCCAGCACTTTGGGAGGCCGAGGCGGGTGGATCACGAAGTCAGGAGATCAAGACCATCCTGGTTAACACAGTGAAACCCCGTCTCTACTGAAAATACAAAAAATTAGCTGGGCATGGTGGCAGGCGCTTGTAGTCCCAGCTACTCGGGAAGCTGAGGCAGGAGAATGGCGTGAACCCAAGAGGCGGAGCTTGCAGTGAGCTGAGATTGCGCCACTGCACTCCAGCCTGGGCGACAGAGCGAGACTCCTTCTCAAAAAAACAACAAAAAACAAAAAAGCAAGATATTGGGGTACTGCAGATAGCAGGAGATTAAAGTTCCACTAGGCCCTGGGGAGCTATTCCACAGGGACACCTGCTCTATAAAACACTCTCCTCCAGGACTAACCCCATCCAACACCATCACCACCACCTAGCAACAGTCCCACCTCACCTTGAGGCGCGTCTGGACTCTCTGTTGTACCCTGGGGGCCTGGGGTACTTCAGGCTTGCTCTCTGTAGGGCAGACTTCCTCAAACACCGTGAAGGGGACATGAGGGCCAGCTTGCCTGATCCGGTCTGGGGGTTTAGGTGTGCAGGGCAGTCCTCTACCTTCCAGACCTTTCTGAGAGGTATTATTGAGGCGCAGGGGAGCAGAGGCTAACTTTTGGCGCCCTCGTCCAGAACGTTTTTGGCCCTGAGTCTTAGAGGGCTCTGAGCCAGGGACACTTTTTATTAATGGTGGCTGCCAGCCCCAGGAGCTTGCAAAAAGTTGGGTAGTACAGCAGCTGAGGCCACCTAGTTTTGTGAGGGCCCAAATCAAGAGCAGGCTGGCTCGCCAGGGCTCTAGGTGGGGTATCCGTGCTGCTACAAACTTCAGCCCTGACTGTAGAACCTTCTGCAGGCTCTCGTTTGATGGCTGGTTCAGGCCCTCCAGTGCCAACAGTGTGTATGCTTGAGCCAAGATCTCATCCAAGAGGCTTGGAACCAAGGAGGGGGGTGTTTTATGATTCAGGGAAGCTTGGAGAGCTTGGGTGAGGCGCTCAGCGGCTTCAGGACAGCCCTTCAGCACGACCTGCAGCAGATCCAGACCCTGGGCTTGGTGGCCCATGGCCAGCCTCACCCCTGCCGTGACCAATACCCAGCGCAGACAGACTGCTGTGAGGACAGGGCTGGCGCAGAGCGAGCAGTCACAGGTGGGTGAATGGGACAGGAAGTTGGGTATGGGCTGGGGCTTGGTTTTCAAGACTGGGGAGGAGTTTGTAGAAGGTGCTATGGGGCCAGGCTCCTTGGCCACAGTGGCCACCAGCTCTAGAGCAGGGCCTCTTAGGAAGAGCTCCTCCTCTGGGAGCTGTGGAGGACAGGGGACCTGGGCCTGCTGCTTCCCCTTCTGCAGGTGGACCTTCTTCACAGAGTCCAGGTGCTGAGTCACCCCACCAAACTCTGGGGAGAAGGCAGAACAAGAATTACAAAACGGGGAGAAATGGCATCAAGCACTTCCTGAGCGACCTTGGGGCCCAATTCTCTAATATATGTGTTTTATATACGTACGTGTATATATATGTGTGTATATATATGTATTACTGTATAACATATCAAATATTAGTATGGCTTATTATTTTTTAGGTAAAATCTTTTTCTTTTTTTCTTTTTTTTTTGAGATGGAGTCTCTCTCTGTCGCCCAGGCTGGAGTGCAGTGGCACAATCTCAGCTCACTGCAAGCTCCGCCTCCCGGGTTCATGCCATTCTCCTGCCTCAGCCTCCCGAGTAGCTGGGACTACAGGCGCCCACCACCACGCCCGGCTAATTTTTTGTATTTTTTAGTGGAGACGGGGTTTCACCGTGTTAGCCAGAATGGTCTCGATCTCCTGACCTTGTGATCCGCCCGCCTTGGAGGTAAAATTTTTGTTTTCTTTCCAACCAACAATGGATCAAATGCAGGCCACAAAGCCCCCACACCTGCAGCTCAGGGGCCACATGGCTGAGAAAAGCAGGCTGGCCCCAGCAGGCCCACACCTGAATCCTGCCTCCTACCCTGTGATGCTGGCCCCAAACATAGACTTCTCAACTTTCTCATTTAACAAATGAAAATAATCTATGCTCCCACTCAGCTTTATGAGGTCTAGTGTGGGGCAAATGAAGTACTAGAAGTATATGTGATTGGGGAGACAAAATGTGCCATCAATGCAATGTTTTATTATTAGCTTCAGCCCTCCTGAGGATATGTTTGTGCTACTCAATACGGTAGCCACTAGCCATGTGGCTATTGAGCACATGAAGTGTGGCTAGTGTGACTGAGGACTGAATTCTAAATATTATCTTTCTTTCTTTCTTTCTTCTTTTTTTTTTTTTTTTTGAGTCAGAGTCTCGCACTGTCACCCGGGCTGGAGTGCAATGGTGCAATCTTCCTCACTGCAACCTCCGCCTCCCAGGTTCAAGCTATTCTCCTGCCTCAGCCTTCTGAGTAGCTGGGATTACAGGTGCCCGCCACCATGCCTGGCTAATTTTTGTATTATTAGTAGAGATGGGGTTTCACTTTGTTGGCCAGGCTGGTCTTGAACTCCTGACCCCATGATCCGCCTGCCTCAGCCTCCCAAAGTGCTAGGATTACAGGCATGAGCCACCGAGCCCGGCCCTAAATATTATCTAAATCAAATTTAAATAGCCAAAATGTATTAGGAAGCACTGAAAACTAGAACTAGGGTAAGTCTGGGACAGGCTCTCTGAAAGAGGGAGACCAATGGTTGGACTAAAGTCAAGGGAATGTTGCCCTGGGACCAGAAGTCAGTATCTGATTAAAAAGGGAACAAAGGCCGGGAGCGGTGGCTCATGCCTGTAATCCCAGCACTTTAGGAGGCCGAGGCGGGTGGATCACCTGAGGTCAGGAGTTCGAGACCAGCCTGGCCAACATAGTGAAACCTCATCTCTACTACAAATAAAAAAAATTATCCGGGTGTGGTGGCGCATGCCTGTAGTCCCAGCTACTTGGGAGGCTGAAGCAGGAGAATCACCTGAACCTAGGAGGCAGGAGGCAGGGGTTGCAGTGAGCCAAGATCACGCCACTGCACTCCAGCCTGGGTAATAAAGTGAGACTCTGTCTCAAAAATAAAAAAAGGCAACGAAACCTTTACATAGAAAGATGTGCTGTAGTGTGTGTCATTTCAGCACCGCCTATGGTCATGGGGACATGGCTGCTCACCTGTGCAAGACTCAAGCAAGAACAGAACCTGCTGCAGGTCCGACTGACAGAGATCAATGTCATTGCGGGCCAGCTCCAGCTCGCCCTTCAGCACCAGGAACAGGGCACACCTTGTTGAGAGAGGAGAGGAGAACCAATCAGAGGAATCCTTTGTTTTCCTGGAGAGTCTTTCTCTTTGCCTCTTTCCCAGGCCAAGCTACCTGAGTCCTTCCCTGCCTCCAAAAGGCATTCACTCCCTTAAGCTGACTTAAAGGCTCCCTGGGGAAAACCCTCTACACTTCTCTCTAATCCCAACTCTCCTTGTGCCTTGGGACAGGATTTCCCAAACTGCATTCCTCAATAAAAGAATCCTGTGGGAAAACATTCTTAGGGAAACACTGTACACTAGATCTCCCTTTTGGAGATTTGCAAGGCACATCCGCATACTGAAGGACACGAGAGTCCTACAGGAAATAAAAACATCTAACCTTGATTAACTCAGCATTTCCCACTTATTTAGCTGTGGAATGCCTTTTTCCACGAATGTATCTAAACATAGCATGTAATCTGTGGAACAGTTTGGAATCCATGTTCAAGGGTGCATGGCACTTTGGTGCCATCATTGCCATATCCTCTGGCCCTGTACTTACTGGCGTGGTATCTGCAGCTTTGTTGTAAGTTTTAGGGCCTCCAAGCAAAAGGCCTTGGCTTCACTCACACTACCCAGGCGGCCCAGGTGGCAGACCAGCTTCTCTGAGCAGCTCAGCACCTCTGAAAGAACCTGCCATTTTTGTACCAGATTTTCACCTGTAGCAAAAGAGACAAGACCACCATCACTCAGCCACAGTGTGGATCCTCTGGAGAAAAAACCGCAGCCCTCTCACATAGCCTGTCCATTCCAAGAGGGCCCTGCTGTCCTCCCCAGACTCACCATAGTCCAAAAACGATGTCTCCACAGCTGCTTTCTGAGTTGAGAGAATGTCACTGCCCATCAGCAGGAGGATGATGCTTCGGAGGAGCTTATGGGAGTCTATGAGAGCTATCTCAGGTGTCTGCCAGCCTGTGGTGGGTGGGGTGAAAAAGGGAGAAGATGCAGCCAGAACTTCACCACTTTTAGCTACTAAGGCAGCAAAGCCTGCTTCCCATGCTTCCTTCTGCATTAAGGCAGGCAGAGCTAATCAATCTCATAACTCCTTCCCTCTGAGATCCCCTGGGGTCTCAGAATCCTTTCAGCTGGCTGGGCGCAGTGGCCCAAGCCTGTAATCCCAGCATTTTGGGAGGCTGAGGCAGACGGATCACCCGAGGTCAGGAGTTTGAGACCAGCCTGGCCAACATGGTGAAACCCCACCTCTACTAATAATACAAAAATTAGTCGGGCGTAGTGGCGCATGCCAGTAATCCCAGCTACTCAGGAGGTTGAGGCAGGAGAATCGTTTGAACCCAGGAGGCAGAGGTTGCAGTGAGCTGAGATTGCACCATTGCACTCCAGCCTGGGTGACAACAGCGAAACTCCGTCTTAGAAAAAAAAGAAAAGAAAAAAAAATCCTTTCAGCCTAGTATTCCAGGCAGTCACCAATTGTTTAGAGTCAGCAGGCAAACTGAAACCCATCTGCTATCCCAGGCCTACTCTGTGCAGGTTCTAGGTAGGCTGGGCCACATAGTTAGCCAGCAGAGGGGATGAGGTTTGAGAAGAGCTGACAGCAGACAGACCATACATGTCATCCAAGGGGGGCCATCCACCCTATTCTTTCACCTTGGGCACAGAGCTGCTCCCACAGGGAGTGTGAGAGGTTGTTTGACGGGAGGCTAAGGTAAGCTGCCACCAGCTGCAGGACCTGGACACGCAGCAAGTACCAAGCCTTGGAGGACTTCTGGAGGGCAGGATCCCGAAGCACAGACAGCAGCAGAGAGACACCCTTGGTCACCTGAAGGAGAGAAGGAGCCAGAGGAGGCAGTAAGGCAGTCAGGCACTCCAGAGCTTGAGAGGCCCTGGAGATTACGTGGCCCCATCCCTGAAGGCCCTGGGTATTAGAAAGATTTTAGAATTTTCTGAATATTTGCCTGGCTTTCGAGATCTCCCTGGACCTAGGCAGAATGTTCCTGACCCTGAGAAGCAGTAACAGTTCCTAGCTTTGCCCTCACCAGTGACTTGTCCGCCAATTTAGGAATGATAAAAACGTAGAGAAGAAACTAGAGCATGAGAAGGTAGAAGACGTGCCCAAGTCACACAACTAGTTTGGGAGAAAACTCAAGTCTTTGCCATCCCCTGGATTTCTAGTCCAGAGCTCCCATGCCTTCCCAGGATCACCATTGTCCCAGCTTTTCGTCACAGGACAGACTTTCCCCCTTGCCCCTGAAGAAGGAAAAGGACTGTATCTCTACCAGAGGAGGACTGGTGAGCAAATCGCTGGCGAGGGCAAGGCTAGGAAATATGCCTGCCTCTCAGGGTCAGGAACATACTGCCTAGCTCCAGGGAAATCTCAAAAGCCAGGCAAATATCAAGAAAATCCTAAATTCTTTCTAATACCCAGGGCCTTCGGAGTTTAAGAAAGTGAGAAATACCTTCTGGTGAGTCCAGTAGAGTTGACTTCGAAGCAGATCACAGGTCAGGGAAAGGAGCAGGTATGTGTCAGTAGTCTGATCGAGATGCTTCAGGCTCGATGCTGCCTCTTCCAGGTGTAACTAAGGAAGCAATCAGAGGGCACATGAGGAAAGGCAGCCAGGCTCTTCAAACAAAACTGGAGTAAATAAGGGTGGCCATGTGGCTCACACCTGTAATCCCAGCACTTTGGGAGGCCAAGGTGGGCGGATCACCTGAGGTCAGGAGTTCAAGACCAGCCTGGCCAACATGGTGACACCCCCATCTCTACTAAAAATACAAAAATTAGCCAGGTGTGGTGGCACGCGCCTGTAATCCCAGCTACTCGGGAGGCTGAGGCATGAGAATCACTTGAACCCGAGAGGCAGAGGTTGCAGTGAATGGAGATCGCGCCACTGCACTCCAGCCTGGGCAACAGAGTGAGACTCCGTCTCAAAAAAAAAAAAAAAAAAAAAGTGGAGTAAAGTATTTACAAGCAAAATGTTCAACATGTCCAATAAATATTACATTATTTCAGATATTATAATCTGCATAGGAGTTATTGATTCACTCTCTAAAATGTCCATTTAACACTTGGTTAACCACTTTTTTTTTTTTAGGACGGAGTTTCGCTCTTGTTGCCCAGGCTGGAGTGCAATGGTGTGATCTCAGCTCACCGCAACCTCCGCCTCCCGGGATCAAGTGCTCTCCTGTCTCAGCCTCCCAGGTAGCTGGGATTACGGGCATGCGCCACCATACCTGGCTAATTTTGTATTTTTAGTAGAGACGGGGTTTCTCCATGTTGGTCAGGCTGGTCTCCAACTCCTGACCTCAGGTGATCTGCCCACCTCAGCCTCCCAAAATGCTGGGATTACACGTGTGAGCCACTGCGCTCAGCCTGGTTAACCACTTTTAGATTAAAGCTATATACAGAGTAAGCAGTAGCTGGGCACGGTGGCTCATGCCTGTATTATCAGTACTTTGGGAGGCTGAGGTGGGAGATCACTTGAGCCCAGGAGTTCAAGACCAGCCTGGGCAACATAGTGAGACTCTGTCTCTACAAAACATTTAAAAATTAGCCAGGTGTGGTGGCATGTACCTGTAGTCCCAGTTACTCGGGAGGGTGACGTGGAAGTGGAAATGGAAATGGAAATGGAAATGACACCACTAAAAACAGAATGCTATAAACAGAATGATGTCTTCTGTTTCCAAAGTCAATATACTAGAGTGATGCAAAAATAGTAAGAGTGAGATATTTTGTGGCAAAGTTATCCAGGGGTAAACACTGCAGCCGTAAGCGCTGGCAAGTATTATTGGGGCAAAAGGGAACAGGGTTAAGCAGGAAAGAGATTACATCACACCTGTGCCTACCAGTGGTCGTTAAGAAGACGAAGTAGAAAAGGGAGAAACTGGAGGCAAGGAGACCAACCAGGAGACACTGTGATAGCTTTACATGAGCAATGAAGCATCAACTAGGGCAACAGAACCAGTTAGGAAATACAAGACTGGCGGTAGGTTCCTGCAGCAGTCTGTAAACTTAATGAACAACTGGTTTTGCAGGAAGGACAAAGATGACTCCCCTTCTTACAGCTGCCTCCAACTGCTCCACACTCCACAATTCTCCAGCCAGTTGTGGTGGTAAAAGGCCGAGAAGCTGCCCCTTTGATATCCTGTCTTCTCAGAGGTGGGCCTCTAAAGCTACGGGCCCCCTGCAGTCCCCAGACTAGGCTGGTTGGGCACTCACCTGGGCATAGCTGGGACAGCCGAGGGTCAGGAGGAGCTGGGTGATGTGGCAGGAGGAGCCAGCTGCCTTCGAGTGGTCCTTCAGTCTCTCAGAGACAATCCGTAGCAGCAGGAGGACCTCCAGAGCCTGCATGGGCTGGTCAGCAGAAGCAGCCAAGTTTACTCCACCCCTGCTCAAGCCTCTATTTCTACCCTCTGCTCCCCAGCCCTTTGGGACCTTGGACTGTAGTTTGACCTCAGGGCCTGGGTGGAATGTAGTTACCCAGATGAAGCAATCATCACCCCACCCCTACTGTTTTAAAGCCTAGATGCCATTCATCATCAATAGCCAGGATTTTCTGAGTTCTTACTATGTGCCAGGCACTGTGCCCAGGCTTACATGCATCAGTGCATTTAACCTTCATAACAAGTCTAATCCCAATTTTACAGTACAGGAAGCTAAGACTCACATGGGTTAAGTTGCTTGTCTAAGTTCATATAACAGGTATGTGGCAGAACCAAGTCTCAAATCTAGGGCTGAGGTAGCTTCCCCTGCTAGAAATATGGTTTAATAGCTCATAGTTAACAGCATGTATAAAGGCTTTTTGTTTGTTTGTTTGTTTCCTAATGTGGAGTCTAGGGTAGAGCTTCAGGAATTTTGTGAAACTCCCTGAAATAAGAATGTACATGGCCTTATAGGCCAGGCACAGTGGCTCATGCCTGTAACCCCAGCACTTTGAAAGGCTGAGGCAGACGGGTCACCTGAGATCAGGAGTTCGAGATCAGCCTGGCCAACATAGTGAAACCCCATCTCTACCAATAATACAAAATTAGCAGGGTGTGGTGGTATGCGCCTGTAGTCCCAGCTACTCAGGAGGCTGAGTGAGCCAGGAGAATCGCTTGAACCCAGGAGGTGGAGGTTGCAGTGAGCTGAGATCACGCCACTGCACTCCAGCCTGGGTAACAGAGCAAGACTCTATCTCGGCGGGGGGGCGGGGCGGAAAGCTGGGTGCGGTGGCTCACGCCTGTAATCCCAGCACTTTGGGAGGCTGAGGCGGGTGGATCACCTGAGGAGATCGAGACCGGCCTGGCCAATATGGTGAAACCCTGTCTATACTAAAAATACAAAAAAGTAGCCAGGCGTGGTTGCGTGCCTGTAGTCCCAGCTACTCAGGAGGCTGAGGCAGGAGAATCACTTGAACCCAGATGGCGGAAGTTGCAGTGAGCCCAGATTGCGCCACTGCACTCCAGCCTGGGCGACAGAGTGAGACTCCATCTTGAAAAAAAAAAAGAAGGCACACATAAGAATGTAAGAATGTAAAATTGTGTCTAAAGGCATCTATGTATTTTTCTGATAGGTAACAAATCATCTAATAATTAAAGCTAACTTTTTTTTTTTTAATGAAATAGCGTGAAACAGCATCTTGCTCTGTCCCCCAGGATGGAGTGCAGTGGCGCGATCTTGGCTCACTGCAACCTCTACCTCCTGGCTCAAGGGATTCTCCTGCCTCAGCCACCTGAGTAGCTGGGATTACAGGCACATGCCACCGCACCGGGCTATATTTTTTTTATTTCTTGTAGAGACGGGGTTTCGCCGTGTTGCCCAGACTAAAGCTAACATTTGAGCATACCATTTACACAATACCTCTTCCATGCACTGCTGCACTGAATAATAACGCCACGAGGCAGTAGCATGGCCCCTATTTTAGAGATAAGGAAACTTGGGCTTAGGTTAAGCAACTTGCCCAAGGCCATACACTAATGAATGAGGGAGCTTGGATTTAAAATAAGACTGGTGATACAGCCCTGCGCTTCCATCACTGGCTTTCATGGCTTCTCAGGAGGATCACAGGCCAAAGAAGGCGAGGGAGCTGTTTCTGGTCTAGTCCTTGTTTATATGGGTCCCCCTCAATGCCCCACCCCATTACCTTTGCCACCAGCTGGTAGAGGGCTGCTAGGATCTGCAGTGAGGCTGCTGTCTGCTGGAGACACCGTACAGCTGGGGCCTGCCCCTTTGTAAGCAGCTCCTTCCACAGGGCCAGGGCTTGGTCCAGGCATTTGGACTGAGCTGTTAAGCCAGAAGAAAATGACTGCTGTCTCAGCATGGGCCATCTGGAGAGAACTTCCCTTCCTCCATAACATCCTCTGCCCTTTACGCCAACCTCCCACTGCTTCCACAACCTCCTACCCTACAAGGTCAGGGTTTCCCTCACCAGGGGTCCCTGTTCCACTCTTAGGAAGCCATGGAGATGCCCATGCCACACTCCATTTACCCCTCACCAGCATCTGCAGCCAGGTTGAAGGCAATGTTACTGTATAGGAAACGATCTTCCTGGAGTTTATCTTCATAGTTCAGGTCATTGACTTCAAATTCCTCCAAGTTACCAGGGGCCTGGGCTCTCCGATCCCGCTCGATACCCTGGATGGGAAGATCGGGGTATAAAACAGGGCACAGTGGTGTGGGCCTATCGTCCTGGCTACTCGGCAGGCTGAGGTGGGAGGATTGTTGGAGCCCAGGAGTTCAAGACCAGCCTGGGCAACAGAGAGACCCCATCTCTAAAAATAACGAACAAAAAAAAGGGCTGATACCAACTTGTTGGGGGCCCAGGGACAGTAATTCCTACACCCAGTTCTGGTGAGCCCCACAGCAGCCACACTCACTTCCTGCATTTTGGCTTCCAGAGTACAGATGTAAAGCCACAGCAAGGCCTGTGCTTTATCGTCCAGAAGCTGATCTCTGGCCTGGGCCTCAGGCCTCACAGAGTCCAGAAGCTGCAGGGCTTCCCGGATAGCATCCAGAGCAGAGCTGCAGGGAGAAGATGTGCTTAAGCTGGGCCTACTATGAGTATCTGCCATAGCGCCCTGGGAAGGGCTAGCTGCAGAACAGCTGGCCTCGCCCTTTGCATGTGCTCCCATGGCCACAAGATGAAGGGAGAGCTCAGGGCTGTGGAGAGGGAAACTGGTTCTCAAGAGGGTGAGAGGACCTAGGGCAAGGAGCAAGAGTGGCCTCTGCAGCTACTACTCCTTACCAGTTGGTCTGCTGCGTAAAGTCGTGGTAGCAGAGCACCTGAGCCAGTTCTACCAGGTGGGTGGCTCGTGCCCAGGCCCCGGCTGGTGTCTCCTCGGGGCTCAGCTCCAGGAGGTCACAGATGATGTTGAAGCGTTCCTGTCCAGTGTCGGCCCGCACCGCCTTGTAGGCCTGCAGCTCCTCCCTCAGCAGGAGGGCCAGGGTCTCCGGGTCCCAGCCACTGAGGCTGTCTCGCAGAGTCCTGAGAGAGGGCATGCTCAGCACCAGGGTGGAACCCAGGAGGCATAAAGCCTCTGCTACCTGCTCCCATGCTGAGGAGCCCCAGCCTTGGCTTGCTCAGTAGGTTTCCAGTCATGGCTTTAAAAATTTAAATCAGATTGCATTGCTCCTCTGTTTAACAAACGGCAGTGGGCTCCCACTAGGAATCATTTCCAAAGCCCTGACCATGGCCTATAAGGCCCTGTGTGATCTGGCCGCTTCCCACTTTGACCACCTTCATTCCATATGGTTCCCCATCCTATACCGCTATTCTACTACCCCCAGCATGCCGGCTTTCTCAAGCATGGTCCCAAGTTTGTTCCCACTTTGCAACCTTTGTATTTACTACTCTCTCTGCAAGG